>NT_187632.1:0-186262 GCF_000001405.40 Homo sapiens | reverse complement strand
CTGGAAGCCGAGGTTGCAGTGAGCTGAGATTGTGCCATTGCACTCCAGCCTGAGCAACCAGAGCAAAACTCTGTCTCAAAAAAAAAAAAAAAAATGGCCAGGTAAGGTGGCTCACGCCTGTAATCCCAGCACTTTGGGAGGCCGAGGCGGGTGGATCATGAGGTCAGCAGATCGAAACCATCCCGGCTAAGACGGTGAAACCCCATCTCTACTAAAAATACAAAAACTTAGCCAGGCATGGTGGCGGGTGCCTGTAGTCCCAGCTATTTGGGAGGCTGAGGCAGGAGAATGGCGTGAACCCAGGAGGCGGAGCTTGCAGTGAGCCGAGATCGCACCACTGCACTGCAGCCTGGGCGATAGAGCAACACTCCAACTCAAAAAAAAAAAAAATTTATTACCGTGATCTGTGCCACGTGTTGGGCCCTGAGCCAAGTGCTGGGGAAGATACTAGGTAAGACAGGATCCTGCCCTCCAGAGAGGGCGTTGAACAGGTAGGTGTCACCTCGATTGCCAGGTCCCCATTTAATAGAGGCTGTGTTGAGGATTCTGAGACTACATCTCGGCTTAGAGGGAAAGAGTGCTGTGATCAATTAGTAATGTCTGCCACATTCACAGGGAGAGGAGTCTACACTAAGGCATTTCCTGGCCCTAACACTAAAGAATAGGCAGGATTGGCCGGGCGCAGTGGCTCACGCCTGTAATCCCAGCGCTTTGGGAGGCTGAGGCAGGTGGATCACGAGGTCAGGAGATCGAGACCTTCCTGGCTAACACAGTGAAACCCCGTGTCTACTAAAAATACAAAAAAATTAGCCAGGCGTGGTTGCAGGTGCCCGTAGTCCCAGCTGCTGGGGAGGCTGAGGCAGGAGAATGGTGTGAACCCGGGAGGCGGAGCTTGCAGTGAGCCAAGATCGCACCACTGCACTCCAGCCTGGGAGACAGAGCAAGACTCCGTCTCAAAAAAAAAAGAATAGGCAGGATCTCAGACAGGAGACCCTCGTGACTGTGTGACTGTGGTTGCCTGACACACGACCAGAGACAGCAAGTCATTGACCTACTGCTTGCCTCGTTTTACCTGTTTGCGAAGCAGAGATGCCAACATGGGACTCACTGCATTTTTAGAAGGAGCTAGAGCTGGACAGCCCAGCCTTCCTGTTTTAACCCAGCCTCCTCTGGGCTGGAGTGAGGATCAAGTGTGAGATGCCCCTAAATGGAAACACATCGCGCTCAGCAGATGCCTGGTGGACGGCCGACCAGGAGCTGGAGCTGCAGCAAGAGCACAAGAGAGCTGGGCTTCCAGCTGCTCTGCCATTGGCCCTGCTTGGGCCTCAGCTTCTCCATATGCTCAGTGCGTGCTTGGAGGATGGAAGTGTTTTGGGGCCTCTGGAATCCGCTGTCTTGTGATGCCTGCAATGCTGAGACCTGGGGTCGGGGGAGCAGAATGAAAGCGGAGCCCAGGAGGGCAGATGGTGGGAAGGAGCACTCCAGTGCCCCATGTGGTGGGAGGCTGGGTGGGCAGAGGGGAGAGGGAGGACATGGGGAAGGGCAAGGAGAGGCCACCACTGCTGGATCTTCCCGAGGGCTGTCTAACTCCCTCCCGAGGGCTGTCTAGCTCCATCAGGGGGCGCTTCCCCATGCACCCCCATCCCAGGTGTTATCTCGAGCAAGGAAGGGCAGAGGGAAGAGAGGGTGGGCAATGTGGGGGCCCCAGGGAGTGTTGGAGGGGCTGAGGCCCTGATAGGTGGGCGCCTGAGTTCTGAAGAGGCCCTGGCAGTGATGACCCCTGGCTCCAAGACTGGAACCCAGGAGCAGCAGGCTGGGGCAGAAGACGCAGGCCAAGCCCCAGTACTCAGGAGCATTGGGGAAACCAGGGCAGCTCCCGGAGAGGCCAAGGTGACCCTCAGACCCTAAAAACAGACTGGCCACGTCTCCCAGGTGGATGCAGCAGTTTCTCCATGAGCATGACTTGGGGATTTAGGGCACTGAGACTCTGCTACCCACCCCCCTTAAAAATCCCTTGTGACTCCCAGTTGTCCTGAAGGGGAACCCCAAACTCCTCAGAGGCAGCACATGCTGGTGGGTGAGAATTGGGAGCCTGAGTCCAAGTTCCAGCCTGGCCACTATCGGCTGTGTGACCACCAGTAACTCGCCTAACCTCTCTGGGCCTCATGGGCTCGTTGGAGGATGTGGTGAGCGAGTGACTGAGATGAGCTTAGCACAGTGCCGGCCACACTGCCATTGTTCAGTGCCGGGTGGCTGTGCTTACCACCACTGCTGGCTGTAACTGGCAGAGCAGGGCATAGAAGGTCTTGGCCACTTGAACCCTAGTTGGCCTATCCTTTCTCATCGGCTCCAGCTCCACCCGCTGATGCCGCCCCAACACCAAGCTGCTCTCTGTTCCCTCAACACTCCTTGGTCTTTCATGCCACTGGGCCTTTGCTTCTGCTGTGCCCCCGTCAGGAATGCCCTTTCCCCTCCAGGCTGCTTCCAGACTCTGCCGGTTGTCGAGTGCCCTGGAAACCCGCTCACCCTGCAGGAGTTACTCAGTGTCCTGTGTGCATCCAGACCTTGGTGTGTGGTATCGAGCCTGTCTCCCGTCTGAGTCTGTGACTTCTCAGGCGCACATGTCGTGGCCTATTCATTTTCTTATCCTCGTTGCCCAGCGCCGCGCCTGTCACACGGTGGGTGCTCCGTAGAGTGGGCTGGAGGATAGAAGCAATCAATCCCCAACACCGTGGACGTGCTTGGTGGCAGGAGATGCTTTGCTTCGATGAAATGCTCCGCCTCCAGGTTAGTGCTTTGCATGAGGGATAGGGACATGGAGGCGCCACGAAGGATCAGCAAGGCCCCTAATGACTCCTTTCTCTCCTCACCCCTCCTCTGCCTCTTATTCCTGCCCTGAGCAGGCATTGAGCTCCTGGGGTTGGGCAAGGAAGGGAGAGCAAGTGGCAGGGGGTGGGTGGGCAGCAGGTTCCCAGTCCTGCAGGCGCTGCTGGGATCAGGATGCCACCCTCGCCACCCTGGGAGTTGTCTGCAGCACAGGGGCAGCTGGAGGTGGAGGTCGTGTGCTCCATGGACAGGTGGGGGTCATGTGCTCCGTAGGGTGCCCGGCTGGGCCCTTGTCCCCAGTGCCCTCCCTGGCTGCCAGACCTCTCACTGTGAGGCAGCCAGGTCTCTCCCTGTCCTGGCAGAGGGAAGGCTGTTGCTCCCATCTGGCTCTGCTCCTGGCCATCTGCCCTCTGACCCCACCTGCCCCAGGATGAGTCCCTGCAGAATGCTCGAGTTAAATAGAGTCTGAGGGAGTAGTGAGTCCAGCCCTCCCATTTGGCAGATGAGAAAACTGAGGCCCAGGGAGGCAAAGAGCCTTGTCCGAGGTCACACCAGGAACGCAGCGTTCCATCTATGGCTTGATGTTCTTCCAGGACAGGAGAAGACCTTGGTTTTGACCCTGAGGAAACAGCAAAACTTGGACCTTGAAGACAGGAGATTGCCATGACTAATTTGGGGGCAGGCGGTGTGACTTTGAGTATGTTACCTAACCTTGCTGAGCCACGTGGTACTGGTGAGGATTCGGTGAGATGACAACTGGTCACAGCATGGCAGGCCTCCTGGCATGTCCCTGACTCTCCTTCAACAGGAGCTTTCGATATATTAGGGAGCAGGTAAGCCTCACCTTGAACAAATCCAACTGATGACACTTGTTTTTATGCAGACATAGCAGTTCCCCTGACCTTTGTGATAGTGTGGGATGACCATGTGTGATGGAGAAGGGCCCACGGCAGGTTTCTCTGGGTATAGTTAGGCGGGACCAGATGTACATCCTGCTCTGCCCCCAGAAGCTGCAACTCGAGAGGGGCTTGGTGGCTCTGGGCCTCATCTTGCCCATCTGCAAAATGGGAGCAATGGCACTTCCCTCTCCAGGCTGTTGTGCCCCTTGGTGAGATCACTTCGGGATGTAGAGCCTTGTGAGTGCAGGCCTCCCAGAAGTCCATCTTCCTCACCAACAAATGACCCGGTTCCGGAGAAAGATCTCGCCTTTGGTTGCAAGGTAAGCCAGGTAGACCTGGCCTCAGGAACTGGGTTTCCTGGGGAGGGATGGGGTCTCAGAGCTCCTGGGCTGAGTGAGTGGAGTCCCCCCAGGAACAGGAAGCTCTACCCATCTGCAGCCCTGTCCACAGCTGGTCATCCCTTCCTCCCCATGCTGCTGGAAGCTTGGGACCCACCGGGCCCTCCCCGCTGCTGCTGGGTGCCACGTGGCTGCCGTTTGCCAAGGAGCGGGTGGGGCAGGGGGGTGTACATTTTCCAGGCGATGTTTCCCTGGCAGCTCTGAAAATTAACTGGCCTTTAATGTGGCATACTATTTATTTTAATTAGCAGGAAATTGACCAATTTCTTAATAAGAGGCTTTGTGGAAGCCAAACCTGTATTTGGGGTTGGCGGTGTGTGTGGTGGGGGAGGCGGTGATCAGACAAGAATGACACCCACAGCCCAAGAGGGGACCTTCAGGCACCACAGATGAGGTGGACAGAGTGACGGGACAGAGCAGAAGGGCCTGGAGAAACATTAGAGGGCAGCAGGAGGAGAGGGCTCTGGGCCAGGGGACCTGCAGAGGGCCGGGGGACATGGCCACAGGCCTCTGTGGGATCTGACTTCACTGATCTCTGCTTTTGACTTTGGCCTGTTGGGGTCAAATCCCTGATCTCTGTGTCAGGACTGTGCCTCTTGCCTCTAGCAACACCCCTTTCCCATTGGAGGAATTAACAGAGCAAATCAGTACCTGTGCGGGATTTCCTAAAGGCTCCCTTTGTTTTTCTTTCTTTCTTTTTTTTGAGATGGAGTCTTGCTCTGTGGCCCAGGATGGGGTACAGTGGCATGATCTCGGCTCACTACCACCTCTGCCTCCCGGGTTCAAGTGATTCTCCTGCCTCAGCCTCCTGAGTAGCTGGGACTACAGGCAAGAGCCACCACGCCTGGCTAATTTTTGTGTTTTTAGTAGAGATGGGGTTTCACCATGTTGGCCAGGCTGGTCTTGAGCTACTTACTGACCTCAGGTGATCCACCCACCTCGGCCTCCCAAAGTGCTAGGATTACAGGCGTGAGACACCGCACCCGGCACCTGTTGCTTTTCTTAGATCCGACAGAATCACCAAGGTCCCCTAAGCACTTGTGCTGTGATGAGTTTCCCCATTTTACCAATGGGGAAACTGAGGCCCAGAGAGATGCCGTGTTTTGCTGGAGCCCCACAGATAACCCTACTCATCCTTCAGGTCAGCCTTCAACATAATGGTCTCAGGGGAGGCTGCCCTGACTCCCGGGTGGAGCTCAGGGCCCTGTTCCACTCTCACACGTATCCTGCACTTCTCCTTCAGGGTCGGATGGCAGTGGCAATGAACCGGCTCGATGTTTCACTGTCTTCACTGTCTGCCTCCCTCCCTGGACTGTGAGTCCTCCAAGGGCTGTTAGTGTGTTTGTGCACTCACAGTTGAACCCCAGAACCCAGGCAGGCCTGGCCCGTGGTGGGTAGGTGCCCATTGTTTGTTTGTTGAATGAGTGAGTGAGTGAATGAATGAATGATGGAGGCGAGAAGATATCATTTGAGCCTGGGAGGCAGAGGTTGCAGTGAGCCGAGATTGCACCACTGCACTCCAGCCTGGGTGACAGAGTGAGACCCAGGCTCAAAACAAAACAAAACAAAAGCACACAGCCTTGTGACACTAGTCAGGATCTCCCGCCGCCCCTCTACCTTGGGGAGTCTTGATGATTTTACGGACCTTAATTGAGGTGGGTCCTGATGGGGAAATCACCCCCAACCCCAACAATCTATACTCATCCTCAGGGGACCTTCCTCACCCCCACTCATTTCCTAGGGGTCTGACCCAGGAGCCTGGGTGCACATGTGGCTCATTCGAGTGAAGGGAAGAAGGGCGCTTACTCCCCTCCCACCCTGGACTCTGAAGGGAGTGAGGCCCAGGGACCTCCCTGCAGCTCCAGCCTCCAATAACCACGGGAGAGTGGGCTCCCTGTGGTCCTCAAGACTGGGCTCCCTGTGGTCCTCAAGACTGGCAGCTCCAAAGACCTGCCTCGGGCACTGGCTGGGGGAAGAAAAGCATGGCTGCCACCCCTAGCTGGCCAAGGACCTGCCAAGCCTCCTGGTCACTGACAGCCAGAGAGCTCCTTGACCTTCCTCCTGGACTCGGGCCCACCATGTTCCTACCACGTTTATTTATTTTTAACTGTTTCTACAGTGCTTTCTCTGTGCCAGGCACCATTCTAAGTGCTTTAAGATATTTATCCTCTTTACGAAGTAGGTACTATTATGTCCCCATTTTACAAATGAGGAAACTGAGGCACAGAGAGGGCAAGGGACCAGCCCACTTTCCCCCAGAATTTGCTGCTGAAGGGGTGGCCTGCCCCTCCACACCTGTGGCTATTTCTAGTTGGGTGGGATGAGAGACTGAGAAAAGAAATAAGACACAGAGACAAAATGTAGATAAACAACAGTGGGCCCAGGGGACCGGAGCTCAGCATACCAAGGACCTGCACCTGCACCGGTCTCTGAGTTCCCTCAGTTTTTATTATTATCTTCATTATTTCAGTAAAAAGGAATGTAGTAGCAGGGCAGAGTGATAAGAAGAAGAAGGTCAGCAACAAACATGTGAGCAATAGAATCTATGTCATAATTAAGTTCGAGGGAAGGTACTATGACTGGACGTGCATGTAAGCCAGATTTATGTTTCTCTCCACCCAAACATCTCAGTGGAGTAAAGAATAACAAGGCAGCATTGGTGCAAACATGTCTCGCCTCCCACCATAGGGCGGTTTTTCTCTCATCTCAGAATTGAACAAATGTACAATCAAGTTTTATACCGACACATTCAGTTCCCAGGGGCAGGCAGGAGACAGTGGCCTTCCTCTATCTCAACTGCAAGAGGCTTTCCTCTTTTACTAATCCACCTCAGCACAGACCCTTTATGGGTGTCGGGCTGGGGGACGGTCAGGTCTTTCTCATCCCACGAGGCCGTATTTCAGACTATCCCATGGGGAGAAACCTTGGACAATACCCAGCTTTCAAGGGCAGATCCCTGCGGCTTTCTGCAGTGCATTGTGCCCCTGGTTTATTGAGACATGAGAATGGTGATGACTTTTACCAAGTATACCGCTTGTAAACATTTTGTTAACAAGGCAGGTCCTGCACAGCCCTAGATCCCTTAAACCTTGATTTCATACAACACATGTTTTCGTGAACTCCAGGTTGGGTCAAAGTGGTTGGGGCAAAGTGGCTGGGGCAAAGCTACAAATTAACAACATCTCAGCAAAGCAATTGTTTAAAGTACAGGTCTCTTTCAAAATGGAGTCTCTTATGTTTTTCCTTTCTAGACAGACACAGTAACAGTCTGATCGCTCTTTCTTTTCCCTACAGCTGCCGACCTTTGGGAATTTAATTCTCGACCTTCTTAGGTGTGTTCCGCCTCCCGCTCAGCAGGCTATATCCAGCCCCTGGGCCTTTGCTCACATGGGTTCCCTCTGCCCAGACACCAGCGAGGTGGATGCTGCCTGGGCAGGTGCTGGCACATAGATGGTGGCATGGTAGATAGCGAAAGGACAAGGGCCCTGGGACTGGCCGTGCCTGGGATCTGCTGCAGGCAGCTGTGGGATCTGGGACAAGTGGCTTCATGTCTCTGTAGCCGCCCTTCTTCTGGAAAGTGGAGGTAAAACTTTATTCAAAAGACTGTCACAGGAACTGAACATGTGAACCTGTATAAAGTGCCCCGCACAGTGCCCAGCATACAATGTTCATTAATGAACGTAAGAGTCTCTGTTCTTTAGAGCCAGGTGTGATGGCCCACACCTGTAATCCAGGCTGCTCAGATGGCTGGGGCAGGAGGATCCCTTGAGGCCTGGAGTTGGAGACCAGCTTGGGCAACATAGAGAGACCCTATCTCTAAAAAAATAAAATAAAATATTCTCTGCTTTTTCTCCCCAGCCTGTCCTCTTGCCCTTCAAAGCCCAGCTCATCCCAGAAGCCTTTGCCCCTTTTCCAGTGCAAAGTCCCCGGTTACAGGTGTCCCCAGAGCACCTTCTGCCTGTGTCACTCAGCCTGGTGCCTGGTTGTGTCCACACTGGCTCCTGGCCCCTGGCAGCCCAGGCAGACAGGAGCCCAGGCTAGAGGAAGGCAGAAGCTGTGCTGGGGTTAGAGCCAGGGTTCTGGGCCCAGTAGCATTTTTTTTTTTTTTTTTGAGACGGAGTCTCGCTCTGTCGCCCAGGATGGAGTGCAGTGGCACGATCTCGGCTCACTGCAAGCTCCGCCTCCCGGGTTCACACCATTCTCCTGCCTCAGCCTCCCAAGTAGCTGGGACTACAGGCGCCCGCCACCACGCCCGGCTACATTTTTGTATTTTTAGTAGAGACGGGGTTTCACCGTGTTAACCAGGATGGTCTCGATCTCCTGACCTCGTGATCCGCCCGCCTCGGCCTCCCAAAGTGCTGGGATTACAGGCTTGAGCCACCGCCCCCGGCCTGGGCCCAGTAGCTTTTTTAGACGGATATCTATTGAGCACCTACTGTGTGCCAGGCAGTGTGAAGGAGGTGGCCCCAGGAAGCCTCTGTGGGGTGGGAGAGCCCAAAAAGTAAGCTGGCCAACCTGCCTCAGTGGCTGTCGAAGGTGGATGGGTCCAGCTGGTACGTGTGGGACTGAGTGGCCTCTGCGCTGAGGTTAGAGGTGGGAGCAGGAGCTGATGGCTGAAGGGTGGTGTGATGAGCCTGGGTGCATCACAGACATCAGGACAGAGGGTGAGACGAGTGTGGTCTTCAGGAAACAGCCGGCCATGGGGTGTGGTCTGAGAGAACAGAATCAAGAGACAAGCCTGAAGCGTGGGACCCACGTCCTTGCTCACTCCACAGGTGCAGAGAGTTCCTGCAAGGTGACAGATGCTGACAAGCATGAGCAAAAGAGATCTGCCAGGGCCAGGCTCGGTGGCTTATGTCTGTAATCCCAGCACTTTGGGAGGCCAAGGTGGGAGGATCACTTGAGCCCAGGAGTTCAAGACCGGCCTGGGCGACATGGTGAAACCTTATCTCCAAAAAAAAAAAATTTTTTTTTTGAGACAGAGCCTTGCTCTGTCACTGAGGCTGGAGTGCAGTGGCGCGATCTCGATTCACTGCAACCTCCGCCTCCTGGGTTCATGCGATTCTCCTGTTTCAGCCTCCCGAGTAGATGGAATTATGAGTGTGTGCCACCTCACCTGGCTAATTTTTTGTATTTTTAGTAGAGACAGAGTTTCACAATATTGGTCAGGTTGGTCTTGAACTCCTGACCTCTGGTGATCTGCCCACCTTGGCCTCTCCCCAAAAATTTTTTTGAAATTAGCCAGGGATGGTGTCATGCACCTGTAATCCCAGCTACTAAGGAGGCTGAAGTTGGAGGATCACTGAGACCAGAAAGTAGAGGTTGCAGTGAGCCATGATCACAGCACTGCACTTCAGCCTGGGCAACAGAATGAGACCCTGTCTCAAAAAAAAAAAAAAGAGAGAGACATCTGTCCTTTCAAATAACATTCTGGTGAGAGATGGAGGGGAGCTAATATCAACTAAGTAACCAAATAAATAAACAAGATCATTGCTGAGTGTGAAGAATGTATGAAGCCAATGACCCCACCGTAAGTGGGGAGACAAAGCTGGAAGCTGCAGTCAGGTGCAGGGTCTTCCTCCTGAGGCGGGTGGGAATGGGAGCTACGGAGGGCTCTGAAGCAGGGGAATGGCGAGATTGGAGGGGTTTTAGATGACACTTCTACTGTTGTGTGGGGAACTGGAGTAGGAGGAAAGGCTGGGAGCTGAGGGAGCATCTGGACAAGACGTGGTGGCTGGGGTCAGACTGGGTGAGGGTGATGGTCATGGGCACCCAGAGAAGAGTGGGTTTGAAAGCTGTCTTAGAGGACAGGAGTTGATGATGATGAAGGCTGTGGAAGGTGAGGAAGAGGAAGAGATGAAGCTAAAATCCAGCTTTCTGGACAGGGACTTGGGGTGACAATGGTGCCATTTGCCTGTGTAGGGAGGTTGATGAGTTCAGCTTTGAGCCTACCCAGTGTCGGGCGCCTGGGATGGTCTTAGCGGGAAGGCCCTGCAGCCTCCGCTGGCCACAGCATCTGAGACCCCTTGGAGAGGTTGAGCCTGCCTTTGGGGCAGAACAGAGACACGACCTACAGCCATGGGCACCAGCTGCCTGAAGGCCTCACCTGATTCTGCATTTCCCAAAGCAGGGTTCAGGACATCCTTCCTTCTTAGCATTCTTGACTCATCCCAGAGCATCTGCAGTGCCAAACATTCTACAATCTTGAGGACTTTTCCTGCAGCTTTGAGAAGCCCCTCAATGTCGCTGTCCTTGCCTCACACATTGCTCCTGTTGTGATCTGTGGATCAAAGGCTCTGATTGTGAAGGGGAGATTCTCCTTCTCAGGGGAGGAAGGGACCTCCATCTGGCTCCGTTCCATGTCCTCAGCTTTGGAAATGACCATCGCTGTTGTCTCCTGCATGTTGGCTTCTCGGGAACGCCCCCACTCCTGGTCCTGTTGGAAGTGATGCTTGGGGTTGAGACTGTGGGGTCTTGAGCTGTGATCCCCACGGGCATAGCTTTGGGTGGAGAAGTCCCTGGGGCTCCCTTCTTCTCTTTGAGGACCCTCCCCCTCAGGGAGGGGGCTTTGTATCTATTTTGTTCCTATCACTTGGGGCTCAGCAGAGACCCAGCTGGGCTCTCTCGCTGGGCCTTGCAGACGGATGGAGAAAGGGGTGTGTGTGTGTGTGTGTGTGGTGAGTGTGTGTGTGTGTGTGGTGAGTGTGTGTGTGTGTGGTGAGTGTGTGTATGTGTGGTGTGTGTGTGTGTGAGAGAGAGAGAGAGAGAGGGATGGAGAGGCAGAGGGAGAGCGCCCGCCTGAAACCTAATTGCCTACTGTCTAATCCATCAGCCGGAGGACAGTTTGCCGGCCCCTCCCCCGCGGGCTAATAAATGCCATCCAAGGCCTCCTGTGCCAGAGCTGCTTTAATTGGTATCAGGATGTGCCTGGACTCCATCCACCAGGCTCCTGACTTCATCCCCCCCTGCCATCTCCTCCTCCACCCCGTTGGCCTCCAGCCCCTGGCAAGGCTCACCTGCCATCCATCCCTGGGGAAAGTGCAGCAGCTGAGGCCACAGCCCCAGGGGGAAGGTGTGACACCAACAACGACAACTCCATTTATGTGGCACTTACTGCCTTTGGGTCTGAGTGCCCCAGGGATCAGTACGGGCATCACATTCTCTCCAGGTGAGCAGGGCACTCAAGAACCCTGCTGAGTCTCCATTGATGGATAGTGGAAAATCAGGAAGGGGCTGAGTGGAGAGGGAACGAGATGACATTTCATTCATTCATTCATTCATTCATTCATCCATCCATCTGGCAACTACCTTGTGCTGGGCTTTGCTCTGGATGCTGGCAAGACTGGCTACGTGATTTCCTGGGCCCTGCGTAAAAGGAAAATTCGGAGCGGTAAAATTACAAGTATTCTCTCGGCTTTCGGCTCGGAGGAGGCCAAGGTGCAACTTTGTTCGGTCGTCCCGAATCTGGGTTCATCCGACACCAGCCGCCTCCACCATGCCGCCGAAGTTCGACCCCAACGTGATCAAAGTCGTATACCTGAGGTGCACCGGAGGTGAAGTCGGTGCCACTTCTGCCCTGGCCCCCAAGATCGGCCCCCTGGGTCTGTCTCCAAAAAAGGTTGGTGATGACATTGCCAAGGCAACGGGTGACTGGAAGGGCCTGAGGATTACAGTGAAACTGACCATTCAGGACAGACAGGCCCAGATTGAGGTGGTGCCTTCTGCCTCTGCCCTGATCATCAAAGCCCTCAAGGAACCACCAAGAGACAGAAACAGAAAAACATTAAACACAGTGGGAATATCACTTTTGATGAGATCGTCAACATTGCTCGACAGATGCGGCACCGATCCTTAGCCAGAGAACTCTCTGGAACCATTAAAGAGATCCTGGGGACTGCCCAGTCTGTGGGCTGTAATGTTGATGGCCGCCACCCTCATGACATCATCGATGACATCAACAGTGGTGCTCTGGAATGCCCAGCCAGTTAAGCACAAAGGAAAATATTTCAATAAAGGATCATTTGACAACTGAAAAAATAAAAAATTACAAGTATTGAGAATTTCAAGATGGTGATGACAGAACAATCAACCACGTATGGGGCGCTGGGTGACTGTGGAAGTGGCTTTCCCACAAAGCCAGCCCCGCTGCTGGGGAGACCCTGCAGGGAGACAGCCAAACCAACACACCTGAGAGCCACCATCCTCATCTGGTCCCCATCCCCTAACTGGAATTCTGCAATTAACAGAAGTCTGAAAAACCAAAGTCCTTTTGTTAAGGTGGTGGTAAATTCATCTGGAGGCAAAACCTGACCTCAGCTGACGGGAAGCTATTTATAGTTTTATTTATTCCCCTTCATGTGAACATTTGTACAGTTCACTGCAGAGCTCTTAATGTGTTTGATTATAGGGACTGCCCCAGCCCTGCTTAAGGTGTAACCTAATCTATGCTATAGACATCGTTTTACATCTCTACACAGAACAACTCGAGTCCCTAACGGCTCTGGCCCAGGGGTTTAGGAGAAGGAATTTGGACCCACATAGGACCTATACCAATACCTTGTATGGAATGATCATTGCATACCTTTTTTTTTTTTTTCTGTATCATCCAAAAAAAGCATGGGGCAGGGTGAGGGTCTGTCAACGACCCCCATCCCTGGTCTACCTGCCCCTTGGGTGGTGGAGACCTGCTCTGTGCTAGCAAGGGGGCCCCTGAGAGGGCTGCGGGGGTGTCCCTCTCAGGGTCCACTGGAATCTTTCATTTTGTATTAAGGAGATTGGGGGAGGTATGAGGCCAAGCAAGAGAGCAGTTTCTTGAAAAGAGAAAAGAAGTTGGCTTTATTGATTACAAATACACATGTTTATTGCACAAAAATTAATATAAAAGGGGAAAGTAACAATAACGTGAAATCCACCCTCTCCACAGTACCTACTGATGATGTTTTTGTGACTACCCTTCCAGATTTTTCTAGATATATGACTTACTTTTCGAAGATGGGCAGACAGTTCCCAGTGTTTTGCAACCTGCTTTTTTTCTCCTTTGCAGAACAATACGTTGAGACCATCTTCCCACATCTAGGTCGTCATTTCTCAGGAGGACCTGGAAGTCCATGGTAAACACATTCCATAACCAGCTGGAACAGCCACCCTTGTTGGACACTGTTTGATTCAGCTTTTTATTAATACGCAGTCCTGAGATGGCATCCTTATGCACACGCCCACATATTTCCTTAGGTCAGGTCTATAGATGTGGAAGCCAGGTCCCACGCGTTGGGCATGGCTGTCACCCTGAAGATACCGCAGATCGCCAACATCACATTCCCCACCCCAGCAGCGCCAGTGGGCCCCTCTCACCTAAATAGTCATTCTGTATCCTTGGGAAGAGGGGCCTGTCCCAGCCAGGCAGGGGGTCCTGGCAGAGCGGCCCCTCTGCAGCTGTGGAGGAGGCGGGGAAGCCAGCCAGAGTACCACCTGGACAGCGCGGCCATCGGGGACCCTTCAGCCACCTTGGAGTGGCTCCCTTCCCTCTGCCTCTGTTTGCTCCCCGCCCACCGTTCCCGACCTCATGGCAGCCCCTTGGCTGCCACCCCCAGCTGGGCCTGAGCCACCTTGCCTGGCTCTCTGACTCTCTCTTCTCACATGGGGATACAGGCTGGACTCCAGGCCCCATCACACCCTAATCACTTGAGCGTTCTCCTCATTTGCATGTCCTTAAAGCGCCTTGATTAATACCCCTTCCTCAGCTCTCCCTGCCCCAGCCATGAAGGCTCTGATTGCAAAGTGGCCTCAACTCCTTTAAAAATAAAACAAATCCTCCCTAATGCGAGCAGACCCCATGCTTCCCTGAATGTTAAGAGATCTTCAGGTGTCTCCCGGGAGCTCCATCGGCTTGGAAACATTGGAAACTTCTGGAAGGAATTGGGTCATTTCTCTCTACCTGGCCGGCCAGAGGCCTTTCTCGGCACTGTTTTTTGGCTGCTCACTCTTTGGGCTGAACCTAAAACATCGTGGCAGTTGTTGGAAGTAGACACCATCTTCCCCTTCCAGAAAATAAATAGCCTTGGAGAGGGCAGGCTGCTTGCTCAAGGTCACCCAGCCAGGCCATTTTCAGCTCCGCTGGTGTTTGAATTCAGCACTGTCTGATGCCAGCCAGACCTTTAACTGCCACTCTTCACTGTCTTGTTAAAAGCAGGCTGGGCCTGGAACTGGGGCTAGGGATAAGGACAAGGATGGAAAAAGCAGACACATTTAATGAGGTGCTATGACATCCAGCCCTAGACATCCCTGAAGCTGATGAAGCCGGCCTCACCCTGAAGAAGAGCGTCCAGGAGCCCCTCTGCTATTCCCCAGCTGCATGATCTTGATATCTGGGCATGGGGTGAAGCAGGGGTACTGGGTCCTGCTATAACCGCTACAGGACCTTTCCGGCATGATGCGTGGTATGGTGGGCGCATCCCACAGTTGTACCCCGCATTTTCCCCTCATGGCTGTAACCCTCAGCTGCATTCCAGTCTGTATCACCAGAGCCCAAAATGCAGCCTGGGAATTCTGGATGCTCTCCCCTGCTTGGAAACCCTCTGCGGGGGTCTCTGAGGGGCAGGATGGCTCCCAGGGTGGCAAAGCACAGAGACTTGGTTAAGCTCTCTGCCCTCCCATCCTCCGCACCTCCAAGCAACTCCCTTCCCTGCCTGCCGCAGTTCTTCCTGCTTCTCATTAGGGCAGAGTTGCTGGGAGCTGCAAGGTTTAAAATGCTGTGAGTGTAGCACAGTGTTCATCTTTTATCTCCCCGGTTGAGCAGTTTCCCAAATGCTGCTTCTGCCATCCCTCTCTCCAGGTTCCTCCTCCCCATCACTGGGTCTTTGGGGCCTGTTGCAAGAGCCCTGGGGTGGCCTGGACTCTCCTGTGAGTTCCTGTTCTCCCTGGCCATCTCTGAGCTTGCTGGGCTGACTGTCCAGCTGAGTTGAGCATGGCTGTTCCTGGCAGGGACCTGCCAAGCCGCTGGGCCTTGGAGCAGGTGTGCACCCACGGTCCACTGGCCAGAGCCTGGCACACTCTCGCTGGCCTCCAGAACACAGCGTGCTCAGGGGCCATACCTCCTGGGGAACTGTAACATGTTGTTCCAGCTCCTCTGGGGACACCTGAGCACGTGGGGCAGGGGCAGCAGGAGGCACAGACACCTGGGAACATTCTCCCAGTGCCAGGCTCTTGGGACCCAAAGTGCAGGCATCTGGAATCATGCTCGCCTGCCCCTGGGCCATCCACCCCCACTGCCGTTGCTGCTGGCTCCTAGCAGGGGCTGCCTCTCCTCCCTGTCTTCTGGGCTCCCAGCTAGGCCTGGGTGCGCGAGAGCTGAAGGATTCTTGGGACTCCCAGGGACCTTTGCAATTCCCAGAGAAAATTGGGGGACTGATAATAACCATGCCAAGTTTTTATTACAAAAACAAAACAAAACCACACACATTAAAAATCTCACCATCTGGGTGGATCATTTGAGGTCAGGAGTTCGAGATCGGCCAGGCCAACATGGTGAAATCCTGTCTCTACTAAAAGTACAAAAATTAGCTGGGTATAGTGTCAGGTGCCTGTAATCTCAGCTACTCAGGAGGCTGAGGCAGGAGAATCACTTGAACCCGGGAGGCAGAGGTTGCAGTGAGCTGAGATTGGGCCACTGCACTCCAGCCTGGGTGACAGAATGAGACCCTGTCTAAAAAAAAAAATCTTACCATCACCGGGTACATGCCTGTAAACCCAACAATTTGGAAGGCTGAGGCCGGGGGATCACTTGAGCCCAGGAGTTTGAGACCCATTCAGGGTAACATAGTGAGACCCGTTTCTACAAAATATAAAAGTAGTTGGGCGTGCTGGCACACGTCTGTAGTCCCAGCTACTCAGGAGGCTGAAGTGGGAGGATCACTTGAGCCCAGGAAGTCGAGACTGCAATGAGTGGCAGTCACACCACTGCACTGTAGCCTGGTCAACAGAGCAAGACCCTGTCTCAAAAAAGAAAAGAAAAGAAAAAAAAACCTCACCATCAACTATCACATCATTTCATGAAACAAATTGCATTTTAAAGCCCAAAAAGTATGAAGGACATAATCTTAGAATAAAGGAACATCTTCACACAAAAAGTGCATTTGGTGACCACCACACACTGTATCATATGCTGGAGGGCTTAGAAAGATTTGCCACAGCCAAGCACCAGGCACTGAGTCCTAATGGAGCACTTGGGAACATCTGTCCCAGGGTTACTGTAGCCATCAGTGCCTGGCAAACACTTTATACAAAACAATGAATTTTCACCCACGTCCAAACTGTGGTCTGTAGGGTCTGGGATCCTCCCTCAGGCCCCAAGATGGATGAATCTGCCAGGATTTGCATTAGGCTACAGACAACAGAAAACTCCACCAAACATGGTTTAAACAAATGAAAAGTTTCTTTGTGTGTGTGTACCGTGTCGAGGGAGGTGGTCTGGGGCTGTGGCAGCCTTGATACAAGAGTTCCCAGAGACCCAGGCATCCCTGGCTTCCTCCTTGCAGCCTTGGTGTCTGACTTTTGTCCTCACAGTCGTAAGATGGCTGCTCCACCTCTAGCCACCACGTCCACATTCCAGGCAAGTATATTTTTCTTGGAATCTTTGCCTTTTAATTCAGGAAGGGAAACTATCGTCGGGATCACCTGCCTTCATCTCACTGGCCAGAACTGGGACACATGCCCACTACCAGCCGCAAAGGAAGCTGGGAAATTGAGTATTTTAATTTTCTGCATTCTATGATAGAGGAAGGCCAGAGGGAAGGGGGTTGGAATGCATGTTTGAGAGACTACGCAGACAGTTTACTGGAAAGTCTTAGCTGTGTTCTAATGGTGGCAACCTTCAGAGTCAATGGCATCTCCCACCCACCCCAGCATCTCTCAGCTGTCCATCATGGGCTAATTCATTTCATCCTACCCTCAAGTCTGTGTGTGGAATCACCGGCTCCCATGACTTACTCTGGTCCTCGGTGCTCAGATCCTTAAGCAGGAATAGAGGGAGCCCAGTTCAGCCTCCAAGCCTGGACTCCTTCATCTCTCCGGACTAGGCCTGATTTCAGCCATATCAGTGTTGCTTCCCACCTGTTGTTGGGTTTCTGGATCCAAAAGCTCCCAGTTTCGAAGTCTGTCTTCAAAGGAAACCCCAAGATACAGTCGCCAGATAAAATTGAGGACGCCCAGTTAAATGTGAGTTTCAGATACACTGTGAATAAGTTTGTCCTGTAAGTATTTGCATGGGACATACCGTACTTCAACTAAAATGTCACTAGTTGTTTATTAGAAACGCACATTTAACTCGGTGTCCTGTATTTTTATTTGTTCAATCTGGCAACCCGGTCGTCGGAGTCACCCTCGGAACTGAAACCGCTCAACTGAACAGCTGTGCCGTGAGCGTTGCTCTCACAACACTGGCATTTTGACAGGCCAAAGTGGTTACATATCAGCACTTACGTACAGTCCAACCTCGTCATTTTCACCTAAACAACAAATGGGGCTCCTGCCACAGCTCAGCTTTTTGGAGACAGAATGTGGTAAATGTGGGATGGTTTGAATCCTCACTCCATCTCTTCCCAGCTAGGAGACCTTAGGTGGGTCACTTTCTGAGCCTCACTTTTTTCTCACCTGTAAAGTAGGTGTGCTCACAGTGAGGACTCCTTGAGGCCTGCATGTCCAGAGCAGAATGGAGCCCGGCAAACAGAACCAGCATCATCATTGTCCCTGTGGGTTTCTGCAAACTCCAGCCTGCCCTGCACATCTCCTGCAGGCGGCTACCCCTGGGCAGGTGCAGGATTCAGGGTGCATTTGGAGGGGAAGTGATGGTGGGGGTACCCCGTGTTTGCAGAAGTGGCTGGAGACCACTGGCATTCCTATGGACCACGTCCCCCCACCCCCACCCCCCTGCCCTGCCACTGCCCCAGCGCTGCCCAACCTCGACATGTGTGCCTGAAGGTCTCCATCCATGCCTCTCCAGAGGTTGTCCAGGAAGGCGATGCCCACCTTCCCCTTTGCTGGGCAGTTTGTGTAACGCAGCCAGCAGGCACCGCACCTCTCACCCACTGTCGGAGCTCCACAAGTTGAGCTTGACTGTCCGGGGAGTGGAGCCACTTCTAGCGGGTACCTGGGCGTACCTGTTATCACCCATCTGTCAGCTGCCACTAGACAGCAGAGGGAGCCCAGCAGTGGGGAGGGAGGGGGGCACTCAGAGGGTTGTCTAAGCAGAGGTGGCTCTTGCAGAACCAGAGGAAGGTTGTTGGGTCCCACTCCTACCCCCCAACCCCCCCAGAGCAAGGATCCCGACCATCCCTCTTTCTAGCTGAGTGACCCTGGGTGAGTGGGCTCCTCACAGGTGAGGTTCAAGGAGGGGCGGGGCATCCTGCCTGGAGGTCTTCCAGATGGGCAATACAAGCCCTAAAAAGGCATAATAACTCAGAGCTATGTGTTCCCCTTGCAGAGTCCTGAGCCAGAAGGGAAGGAGGGACACTGAGGCAGCTCGGAGTCACTGTCGGGGGTGTGAGTGAGCGCTGTGGGGAGGAAGGAGGGAGGACACGCCTGGCAGGTGCCTCATAGCCGCCCCCCACACTAGGCTGCCTGAAGACAGCCCCTGCAAACTGTGAACCCAGAAGAGCCTCTCTCTTCTTGGCCCCCTCCTCTCCTTTCTCTCATTCCCCGCAACTTTGCAGCCTTCCTTGGCTTCCTCCTTTCATTGGAGTACAGGCCGAGAGACTCACCAGGGCCGGGTGTTCACGTGTGTGCGTATGTGCCAGTGTGCGCACGTATGCGTGCACCCATATCATGCATGTTTTTGTGTGGGTGTGTGCACGCGTGCGTGTGTGCATTGTTCAGTGTGCGTTGGGTGCACACGTGTATGTGTGTGCCTTGTGTTGCGTGTGTGTTTGTGCGTGTGTGTGTGTGCGCGCCCGCGCACGTGCCTGAACCCGCCGTTCGTGCCGGCGGGAGGAGCGGACGCTGAGGCCGGGCAGGGGATTTAAAGCTGCTTTCGCGGCTGCCGGCGTGAGCGCGCCGGATAAACGGCCCGGAGCCGAGCAGCCACGCAGCCTGGCGGGAGGCTGCGTATCAGAGCTCCTGGTAGGCCCGCAAAACGCTGTCCCAGTCCCGCCATCGCTTTATCAGCCCACGGAGGGAGGGAAAAAGTATTTGCTTTAGCCCTTAATCACGGAATTTGAAATCCCAGCGAGTCGGTGCCATTTATTTTCAGAAGCTGTCAAGGCTGGTTTCAGCATTTAAAAGAAAGGAGGATGAAAAGCATTTTCATTTCTCCCCCACTCTCGCTGCGCGCTCGCCGGCGCTCTCCGTGGCTCTTCGCGCAGCTCGTGGGTCGGGCGATGGCGGCGGGGAGGCCGGAGGCTTTTCAAGGCTCTGGGGGTTCCGGCCGGCCCGGTGGGGTCCTGCCCCCGCCGAGGTCAGGGGGTGTCAGGTGATTCCGGGGTGGGGGCCCGAGTCTGGTCCAGCGGGGCTGCAGGCTTGGGGAACCTGGGGGCCATCCGCGGGGCTCTCCTGGGGCTCCAAGCTTTCACCCCAGAAAACAACCCTGGACCCCAAATTTGCCCCAGCCCCAGGTGGCCCTACCTGCCCTTCCTGGCTTCCCCAGTGGAAATCTAAGATACTGGGGGCTTCCAGGGGAGCCAGGGCATCCCTAGGACAACCCCCTCCCTCTGCAGATGGGGAAACTGAGGCCTGGAAACAACCGTGGGGTCAAGGTCACATGATGGCGGAAGGAGGACAAGGAAGGAGGCTGACTGCGTATCCAGCACATGTTCCGTGCCAAGCGCTGTGCGGCGCGGCCAAGGTCCGGGGTCTCTGGATAGCACTGGATGCTGGGTCCCACGCTGGGCGACAAGGCCTTTGCAATCAGGCAGACCAGGGTTTGAACCCTGGCCACGGCACTTTCCAGATGGCCTTGGCCACTGTCCCCTCTCTGACCTTCAGATGAAGCTCATGGCACCTCCCAAGCGGGTGTGTGCTTCAAGGACCAAATCCACTTGTGCGTGGTGTTTGGCAGGAGGTGGGAGGGAGGCGGCTCAGCCACAGGGACCTGTCCTGCCTCCACCCTCTGTGCACCCCCTTTCCCTGCCTTTTGTCTCTGTTGCTTTTGGGGGGTGATTAGCCTCTAGCTCAGAGGCTAGAGGATTCTCTCCCCGAAGAGGCTACGGAGTTGAGACCCAGACCCCCAGGGCAAGACCGAATCTGCTGCCTGGGGCCCTCTCTGAGACTCAGTTTCCTCACTGGTTAAAGAAGAAAACTCACAGAATTATCATCGGGGATCCCCGAGTTAATGCCAGCGAATTCCTTGGCAGAGAATCAAGCACTTGGAGGAGCCCCCGCCCCCCGGTCGTTGTGATGAATTTTTTCTGTTATTTATGTGCCCACCTGTCTCACTCCATAGAGTGAGACCAGGCTCCTCGAGGTCAGGACTGCACCGTTCATTTCAGAATTCGCTTGTTCCTGACTTAGGGAGTCGCGTTGAGACACCACATAGCACCTCTGCCAGGGAGGAAGCGAGACAGCAGGAGCGGAGGAAAGAACCTGGGCTGTGTTGATGAAACCTCCTACTTTTGCCTGAAGTGAGGTTGAGTTTGGTTTTTCACTGTGCCTTATTCTTCCGTGTAACTTCAGCCTCTAGTGCAGCATCCTATTTTTTGGGTTGTATTATTATTTTTAATTGACACATAATAATTGTACATATTTACAGGGTGCAGTATAATATTTCAGTACACGTATACAATGTGTAGTGGTCAAATCAGGGTAATTAGCATATTCAGGGTGGAGGTTTTTCTGTCAATACAGATACTTACAGAAACTTTTTTTGTGAGATAGGGTCTTGCTCTCTTGCCCAGGTTGGAGTGCAGTGGCATGATCATAGCTCAAGCCATCCTCCCACCTCAGCCTCCCTAGCAGCTGGGACTACAGGCACAGGCCACAAAGCCCGGTGAATTTTTAATTTCTTCTAGATACAGTCTCACTGTGTTGCCCAGGCTGTTCTCAAACTCCTGGGTTCAAGCGGTTCTTCCACCTTGGCCTCCCAGAGTGCTGGAATTAATTACAGGTGGAAGTCACCACACTTGCCGAAAAAAGCCAGTCAATATTATATTTCATGTTTGGCATTTTATTGTACCTCATTATTTTTCCTGGCTGCATAGTATTCCATTGTGCACATGTACCTGCATGTGATTATCCAATCCCCAGAGGATGGGCACATAGGTTGTGTCTAGTTTTGTCCTCTGACCTCAGGGCTGCAGAGAACAGGCTGGCCTCATACAGCAGGCATCATTATTGGTGTCAGAGGGGCCCCTGCTCTGATAGTCACAGAGAGGCATGGGTGGCTGTGGGAAGCGTCATCACCTTTCATAGGGAAAGGCAGATTAGGGCTCTGAAAATCCAGGGCCAGGAGGGAAATGGCATCAGGGAAAACAGCATGGAAGCCCCTATCTGGCCATCTGGGGGGAACCCAAAGCCTCGAGTCCACAGCAGGCACCTGACTCAGCAGAGAGGAGGGCGGGAGGCCAGGAGCTCTGCGGCAAGGCAGGCAGGGCTTTCCTTCTTGATTCTTTTTTTTTCTTTTTGAGACAGAGTCTTGCTCTGTCACCCAACCTGGAATGCACTGGTATGATCTCTGCTCACTGCAACCTTTGCCTCCCAGGTTAAAGTGATTCTCCTGCCTCAGCCTCCCAAGTAGCTGGGACTACAGGCGCACGCCACCACAGCCAGATAATTTTTGTATTTTTAGTAGAAACAAGATTTTGCCACGTTGACCAGGCTAGTCTCGAACTCCTGGCCTCAAGTGATCCACCCGCCTCGGTCTCCCAAAGTGCTGGGATGATAGGCATGAGCCTCCGTGCCCAGCCTCCTTCTTGATTCTGTTGTTTGTGCCTCAAAGGGAACATTCAGAGTGTGGCTCATGGAGTCGGGCCAACCTCCATCGGTTCCAAGCTCCAGCACCTCGGAGCCTCCATTTCCCAATCTATAATAAGGGGACAGTAATGGCACCCACCTCCCAGGGTGGCTGTGAGGGCTCTGCGAGGGAGTCCAGGCAAAGCCTTTCAGCGAGTTTCCTGAAATGCTGTGAGGTCTCAGGGAAGGCTTGCCATCATCGTTATTATTTCTAATAATGACATTTTCAGAAATCTGAATATAAAAAGACCTTCTCTGAGTTGGGTGTCAAAACCATAAAAAGTATGTGGTGGTGTGTGTGTGTGTGTGTGTGTGTGTCCTTCTCACACTGTCCCTTGCACATGGGTTCCTGCCCCTGCCTGGTACTCTCTCTCTGTCACTATCTGGGACTCCCTAGACTAAATCCGTCTCCCCAAGAATCGCTGTCTTGCCCTCCGTCTTTCTGTGACCTGGCGGCCTAGGAGAAACAGAAGTGCTCCCCACTTCCCCCCCAACCCGCACCACCACTTCCTCATCCGTCCCCACCCCCAGCCTCCTTGAATACAGGCCCACCTGGGGCCTCAGTGCCCAGGCCTCCCAGCACCCGCCCCAGCTGCACTTGAGTCCTGGATCTATCATCACCCCTTGCTGTGGGAAGTGGCTTTAACCTCCCTGGGCCTCAGTTTCTCTATCTGTAAAATGAGGACAATAATAAAAAGAACATAAGATTTTCTGCCTCCTGCCCACCTGCTGAAACAAACAAGCAGACAAGAAATTCACAACCTCCCAGAGGCACTTAGAGCCTGGGAGATTCAGCCACAAAGGAGCATTCACAGGTTCACAGGGTCCTGGGATGCACTCCTTCTCTCCCTTTCCTCCAGGAGGAGTTGGATCTACTTGTGTAAAACCCCTGCCCTCCCTTGGCCCTGTGTGCTCTGGGGAACACCTAGATTCACAGGGCAGGGTGGAGGCTGAGCTGAGCTGAAAGGTGGGGTATGGGCTCTCCAAGAACAAGCTCTTCCAGCGCCCTGGTGGGGTGTGCAGCTGCATTGCTGGCTCAAGACACCCCCACATCCAACTCAGATCTTTGTTTTGAGATGGAGTTTTGCTCTTTTCACCCAGGCTGGAGTGCAATGGCGCGATCTCAACTCAGTGCAACCTCCGCCTCCCAGGTTCAAGCGATTCTCCTGCCTCAGCTTCCCACATAGCTGGGATTACAGGAGTGCACCACCACGCCCAGCTAATTTTTGTATTTTTAGTAGAGACAGGGTTTTGCCATGTTGGCCAGGCTGGTCTCAAACTCCTGACCTTAGGTGATCCACCCGCATCGGCCTCCCAAAGTGCTGGGATTACAGGCATGAGCCACCATGCCTGGCCTCAACTCAGATCTTTAACTCTGCTACCATTTGGGAGTGCTCTGCGTGGGCCACATCTAAGCCAAGCATTTTCTCACCCTGGCCTCAGGAAGAAGATGGAACAAGGGTAAGACCTGAGAAGCGTGTAGACCTTCAGGGTTTTCTCAGTCTGTCAGTTGATCTTATTTATGATCGATGAGCAAGTCTCTCCCCCCTCTAAGCCTCAGTTTTCTTATCTATAAAATGGGGCTACATGAGGAGTCAATGAGCTAAGGGTGTGAAGCTGCTGGCACAAAGCCCCACACATGGTAAACCTTAACCAGTGCCAACCGGATGGTAGATGGTGCCGTTGTGCCCAGCAATTCCTTCCCCTAAGCAGGTTATACCACCGCTTCCCCTGAACACCCTTCCACGCCCTCTGACACTGAAATGCCTAACCTTGTTTTTACTCTAACTTGTTACTTTGAATTTTGTCCTGCTTGTCTCTTTAATCACCTAGCCTGGCTTCTCTTGTAAATAAGACTCTCTCTAGCTGGGAAAGCCGGACAAACTCCAATTGACCCCGTAATTTACAAGACACTGAGGACTCCTCACTCAACCCCCTTTAGTAAGGAGTTGGCCTGTGTAAACAGATCCTCAGCATTTCAAAGGAGCCCGATTAACTGATAAGGTACTAGCACCAACAATGTATGAAGTTCCCAGGATTTCTCTCCAAGAGATAACAACATAAAACCTTGAGTTCATGCCCGGCATAGACCCTATATCTAATTATAATGAAAGATTTAGAGCCTTGCACCTGGTACTGTTGCTCTTCTTGTAACCATTTGTCTTTTAAGTTGCTTATCTCTCTGTAACGATTTTGCTTCTTTTGATTCTTGCGTGTTTTTACTTCTGTAGAATTATTGCATTTGAGTTCCCCTCCCCTTCCTAAACCTAGATATAAAAGTTAATCAAGCCTCTTCTTCGGGGCTGAGAGAATTTTAGCGTTAGCTGTCTCTTTGGCCGCCGGCTTAATAAAGGACTCTTAATTCGTCTCAAAGTGTGGCATTCTCACTAACTCGCTTGGGTACAACAACATGAGGCTTGGCCATGTGACCTGCTCTGGCCAATAAAATGTGCGCAGAAGTGACCACACGTCAGGGCCCGGCAGAAGTTTTAAGAGCTACACCTGGCCGGGCATGGTGGCTCACACCTGTAATCCCAGCACTTTGGGAGGCCAAGGTGGGTGGATCACCTGAGGTCAGGAGTTCGAGACCAGCCTGACCAACATGGAGAAACCCCATCTCTACTAAGAATACAAAATTAGCCGGGCATGGTGGTCCACGCCTGTAATCCCAGCTACTCGGGAGGCTGAGTCAAGAGAATTGCTTGAACCTGGGAGGTGGAGGTTGTGGTGAGTTGAGATCGCGCCGTTACATTCAAGCCTTGACAACAAGAGCAAAACTCCATCTCAAAAAAAAAAAAAAAAAAAAGCTACACCTCTAGTCTAGCTAATTGGGAGGCCGAGGTGGGAGGATTGCCTGAGTTCAGGAGTTCGAGGCTGCAGTGAGTTATGATTGTGCCACTGCACTCCAGCCTGGGTGACAGAGTAAGACCTTGTCTCAAAAAAAAAAAAAAAAAAAAAAAAAAGAAGAGGAGATTTGACCCAGACATGTTCAGAGGGAAGATGACATGGAGACCCCGGGGAGAAATAAGCCATCCATAAACCAATGTGGGAGGCTTGGAACAGATCCTTCCCTACGGCTGTCATAAGGAACCAACCTGCTGGCACCTCGATTTTGGATTCCCAGCCTCCCAAACTGTGAAACAATGTGTTTCTGGTGTTCCAGCCACCCAGGACTTTGTGACCACAGCCCTAGCAAACGTGTGGGGAAAAGAAAGAGATATCAGACTGTTACTGTGTCTGTGTAGAATGAAGTAGACATAAGAGACTCCATTTTGCTTTGTACTAAGAAAAGTTCTCCTGCCTTGAGATGCTGTTAATCTGTAACCCTACCTCCAACCCTGTGCTCCCTGAAACATGTACTGTGTTGACTCAAGGTTAAATGGATTAAGGGCTGTGCAGGATGTGCTTTGTTAAACAGATGCCTGAAGGCAGCATGCTCGTTAAGAGTCATCACCACTCCCTAATCTCAAGTACGCAGGGACACAAACACTGTGGAAGACCACAGGGACCTCTGCCTAGGAAAGCCAGGTATTGTCCAAAGTTTCTCCCCATGTGACAGTCTGAAATATGGCCTCATGGGAAGGGAAAGACCTGACCGTCCCCCAGCCCAACACCCGTAAAGGGTCTGTGCTGAGGAGGATTAGTAAAAGAAAAAGGAACGCCTCTTTGCAGTTGAGATAAGAGGAAGGCATCTGTCTCCTGCTCGTCCCTGGGCAATGGAATGTTTCGGTGTAAAGCCCGATTGTATATTCCATCTACTGAGATAGGGGAAAATTGCCTTAGGGCTGGAGGTGGGACATGCTGGCAGCAATACTCCTCTTTAAGGCATTGAGATGTTTATGTATATGCACATCAAAAGCACAGCACTTTTTTCTTTACCTTGTTTATGATGCAGAGACAGTTGTTCACATGTTTTTCTGCTGACCTTCTCTCCACTATTACCCTATTGTCCTGCCACATCCCCCTCTCCGGGATACGCCCGATAATGATCAATAAATACTAAGGGAACTCAGAGGCTGGTGCCAGCGCGGGTCCTCCGTATGCTGAACGCCGGTCCCCTGGGCCCATTTTTCTTTCTCTATACTTTGTCTCTTTCTTTTCCAAGTCTCTCATTCCACCTGACGAGAAACGCCCACAGGTGTGAGGGGGCAAGCCATCCCTTCAAAACGAATACGCTGCATTTCACAGGGCCCCACAGATAGGAGATGTGCTATAAGGGAATTAACCTACTTGCAAACAGAAACAAAAGGGAAAGAGAAAATCCAGAAATGTTGGATTTGCAGGATTGAAAAAGGCAACTATTCCTCATCTCGGTCCAATGAAAGAGCAACTAAGTGAGTGCTCCAAGCGCCCAGTGCCCAAAGGCCCATAGCCCGTGGGAGGACGCAGACACTGTCATGTGCAGGAAGCCACCTGTGCTGCAGGAGGCTGAGGTTGGGTGCTGTGCCCCCAGCTGGGAGAAGGCTGGGGTGGGCCAGGGAAGCTGTGCTTGGGCACAAACCACTTATCCCCGAGTTGGAAAAAGGTGCGATCCAATTCTTTACCCCACCCTGCTGGTTTATCACCCAGACAACCTAGAGTGAGCACCCACGGCCATTTTTGGAAAATCCTGCTCTTTTGCATAAGTGGGCAAAACAGACACAGTCCCTGCCCCTCTGGCAGTTCGTCGCTTCTGCAAGACTCAAGTGCCAAATGGCATTTTAGAAAACATTTCTGACATGTTTGTGCTTGGAACACATGATATGATCTTGGAGCAGATAAGAGTTTTAAATTTAACTTTGTCTGTCCCCAGAAATGTATTATTCGAGAATTCTAATTGTGAATTTTAAACTTACTTTCTTCTTATTATTGTTTTTTTTTTTGAGACAGGGTCTTACTCTGTCGCCCAGGCTGGAATGCAGTGACGTGATCACAGCTCACTGCAGCCTTGACCTCCTGGGCTCAAGCGATCCTCCTCCTGAGTAGCTAGGATCACAGGCACATGCCACCATGCTCAGCTAATTATGAATCTTAAACTTTCTGTAAAGACTCTTCAAAATGGGTACTCTACAAATAGTCAATAAAGAATATTCTAGGCTTAAGAAAAAAATAATAAAACTAAGAAACACTTTGTGTGATAGAGCCAGTTAAGTCTCAGTCTCAGGGTAAAGATCATACCAAGGGTATGGCCATCACGCCCTTTGTTGAAACTTCAGAAAAGATCACAGGCCCACAGTTCCATCTAGAAAGCCATGTCTAGAAGAAAGTTGGGTGTTTTTTTTTTTTTTTTTTTTTTTAGATGAAGTCTCACTCTGTTGCCCAGGCAGGAGTACAATGGCATGATCTCAGCTCACTGCAGCCTCTGCCTCCTGGGTTCAAGCAATTCTCCTGCCTCAGCCTCTCAAGTAGCTGGGATTACAGGCACCTGCCACCATGCCCAGCTCATTTTTGTATTTTTAGTAGAGACGGGGTTTCACCATGTTGGCCAGGCTGGTCTTGAACTCCTGACCTCAGGTGACCCACCTGCGTCACCCTCCCAAAGTGTTGGGATTACAGGCGTGAGCCACCACGCCCAACCCTTTTTTGATTTTGCTCAGTCACCCAGGCTGAAATGCAGTGGCATGATGACAGTTCACTGCAGCCTCGACCTCCCAGCTCAAGTGATCCTCCTGCTTCAGCCTCCCTAGTAGATGGGACTACAGGCATGCACCACCATACCCAGCTAATTTTTGTATTGTTTTGTAGAGATGGGGTCTCATTATGTTGCCCAGGCTGGTCTTGAACTCTTGAGCTCAAGCAACCCTCCCATCTTGGCCTCCCTAAATGCTGGAGGGCAGTGGTGCAATCTCGGCTCACTGCAGTCTCCACTTCCCGGGTTCAAGCGATTCTTATGCCTCGGCCTCCCGAATAGCTGGGATTACAGGTGCACACCACCATGCCTGGCTAATTTTTGTATTTTTAGTAGAGACGGGTTTCTCCATGTTGGCCAGGCCGGTCTTGAACTCCTGGCCTCAAGTGATCTGCCCTCCTCAGCCTCCCAAAGTGCTGGGATTACAGGCATGAGCCACCACGCCCAGCCTTGTTCTTCTCCTTTCTAATGGTGAGTGTTTGGGGATCATTCTGTTCCTATTCCACCATTGTATGTTGAGTGCGTGTATTAGTTTGCTAGAGCCACCATAACGAGATACCATGTATTGGGTGGCTTCAACAATAAAAATTTATTTTCTCACAGCTCTGGAAGCTAGAAGTCCAAGATCAAGGTGCCAGCAGGGTTGGTTTTTTCCAAGGCCTCCCTCTCTGGCTTGCCTGTGTGCTCACGTGGCCTCCTCCCTGTGCGCACCTGCCTTACTTCTCAGTCTGTGAGTCCAAGTTTCCTTCTTATAAGGACACTAGTCATATTGGATTAAGGCCCATTCTGACAGCTTCATTTTAACTGAATTACCACTTTGAAGACCTTATCTCCAGCCAGGCATGGTGGCTCACACCTGTAATCCCAGCACTTTGGGAGGCCAAGGACGGCAGATCCTTTGAGGGCAGAAATTCAAGACCAGCCTGGCCAACATGGTGAAACCCCCTCTCTACTAAAACTACAAAAAAACAAAAAAACAAAAACAAAAAAAAAAAAACTAGCCCAAACTAAAAAATTACAAAAAAAATTGAGGGTCATTTGAGGTCAGAAGTTTAAGACCAACCTGGCCAACATGGTGAAACCAGGTCTCTACTAAAATACAAAAAAAGTAGCCCATGCTAAAAAAATTAGCGTGCAACACCATTG
This sequence comes from Homo sapiens, assembly GCF_000001405.40. NCBI lineage: Eukaryota > Metazoa > Chordata > Mammalia > Primates > Hominidae > Homo > Homo sapiens. The sequence continues at coordinate 157,451 of NT_187632.1, read as the reverse complement.
AAGGGGTGGCCTGCCCCTCCACACCTGTGGGTATTTCTAGTCGGGTGGGATGAGAGACTGAGAAAAGAAATAAGACACAGAGACGAAGTATAGAGAAACAACAGTGGGCACAGGGGACCGGCGCTCCGCATACCAAGGACCTGCACTGGCACCGGTCTCTGAGTTCCCTCAGTTTTTATTGATTATTATCTTCATTATTTCAGCAAAAAGGAATGTAGTAGGACGGCAGGGTGATAATAAGGAGAAGGTCAGCAACAAACATGTGAGCAATAGAATCTATGTCATAATTAAGTTCGAGGGAAGGTACTATGACTGGACGTGCACGTAAGCCAGATTTATGTTTCTCTCCACCCAAACATCTCAGTGGAGTAAAGAATAACAAGGCAGCATTGGTGCAAACATGTCTCGCCTCCCACCATAGGGCGGTTTTTCTCTTATCTCAGAATTGAACAAATGTACAATTGGGTTTTATACCGAGACATTCAGTTCCCAGGGGCAGGCAGGAGACAGTGGCCTTCCTCTATCTCAACTGCAAGAGGCTTTCCTCTTTTACTAATCCACCTCGGCACAGACCCTTTATGGGTGTCAGGCTGGGGGACGGTCAGGTCCTTCTCATCCCACGAGGCCATATTTCAGACTATCCTATGGGGAGAAACCTTGGACAATACCCAGCTTTCAAGGGCAGAGGTCCCTGCGGCTTTCCGAAGTGCATTGTGCCCCTGGTTTATTGAGACTAGAGAATGGTGATGACTTTTACCAAGTATACTGCTTGTAAACATTTTGTTAACAAGGCAGGTCCTGCACAGCCCTAGATCCCTTAAACCTTGATTTCATACAACACATGTTTTCGTGAACTCCAGGTTGGGTCAAAGTGGCAGGGGCAAAGTGGCTGGGGCAAAGCTACAAATTAACAACATCTCAGCAAAGCAATTATTTAAAGTACAGGTCTTTTTCAAAATGGAGTCTCTTATGTCTTTCCTTTCTAGATAGACACAGTAACAGTCTGATCTCTCTTTCTTTTCCCTACAACCATGGTACTCATTCTAGCTGCTTGGGAGGCTGAGGCACAAGAATCACTTGAACCCGGGAGACAGAGGTTGCAGTGAGCCGAGATTGCACCATGGCACTCCAGCCTGAGTGACACAGCAAGACTCAGTCTCAAAAAAAAAAAAAAAAAAGATCTTATCTCCAAATATGTTACTTTGTAAAGTACTGGAGGTGGGAGCTTCAACACAAGAATTCGGGAGGGGGAAAATTCAACCCATAATAGTGTGTGAGACCAGAAAATTCCTCCCCCCACCGCCCATTTACAGGTCTCCTATGGAGAGAAGCATTGACTGGGGACACTTACTGGGTTGTGTTTGCTGGTGGCTGGGCTGGAAGGTCCACAAAGGCTCACTTCATGTGAGTGGCACCTCAGAGCTCTTCCACAGGCCCTTCTCTCCATGCAGCTCTCTTGGGCTTCCTCACAGCATGGTGAGTTTTTTCACGGTGACTGGCTTCCAAGGGGAAGGACTTCAAGCTGGGTGAGAGAAGATGCCTCAAATCTCTGCAGCCTCAGCCTGGGAACTCACACAGCGTCGCTTCTGCTACATCCTGTTGATGAAAGCCAGTCCTGGAATCAGCCCAGATCCAAGGGGAGGAGAAAAATACTCCATGTCTTGCTGGGAGGAATGACTAAGAATCCGCAGCCGCCTCCAATCCACCATGCCCACGCAAGAGACAGGAGTGATAATTGCAACCAAGATGGTGCATGGTAGCAGATTGGTCACTGTTTCCAGTTATTCACTGTCCTCCCAGTGAGAGGACTATTCATCCTGCCCCATTGCTACACGACGTGCAGGGCCTCCAGTGCTGGGTACACCTCCCCTCCCCACCAAATCAGGTTTGGCCATGTGACTTGCTTTAGCCAGTGAATCCGGAGCCCAAGTCCTAGCAGGCCATTCAAAAGAGAAGCTTCAAGAGCCATCACGTGGGTTGGCCAGCCTGCTTTTCCCTTTGAACAGAGCTGTGTTTTCTAGAGAGAGACCTTAGATAAGCCTCCCTGTTCCACAGAATACAAATCCAATTGGTAAGACTTCTATCCATCTTAAGAAACCTTTATATATATATATCTGTATATATGTATATATGTGTATATATATGTATATATGTGTATATATGTGTATATGTGTATATATGTGTGTATATATGTGTATATGTGTATATATATATGTGTGTGTGTGTGTATATATATATATATATATATATATATATATATATATATTTTTTTTTTTTTTTTTTTTTTTTTTTTTTTTGAGATGGAGTCTCACTCTGTCGCCCAGGCCGGACTGCAGTGGCGTGGCGTGATCTCGGTTCACTGCAAGCTCCGCCTCCCGGGTTCACACCATTCTCCTGCCTCAGCCTCCCGAGTAGCTGGGACTGTAGGCGCCCGCCACCACGCCCAGCTAACTTTTTGTATTTTTAGTAGAGACAGGGTTTCACCGTGTTAGCCAGGATGGTCTCGATCTCCTGACCTCGTGAACCGCCCACCTCAGCCTCCCAAAGTGCTGGGATTACAGGTGTGAGCCACCGCGCCCAGCAGAAACCTTTATATTTTTAAATCTCTCCATTCTCAAATATTCAAAGCCCTTAAATTCATTTATTTTTCTAGAAGTAACACCTGGCAAGTCTGGTATCTCAAGGCGCCACCCATTCCTTCTTAATCCACAAGAACTCACTGAGGGTGGGGAGCCTGGGAGGTCACCACAGCCTGCAAATCCGAACCTGGATGTAGTGAGTGCCTGGGGTGGCCGGGCTTTCTGCAGGTGTGTGCACATTGTCGGCCAAATCTCAGCCCTGAACTGAGTCCTGAGCTTAGGACTCCTCCTGGCTATCTTCTGGGAACATTGTGGCTCAGAGAGGTTAAGTGAGTTGCCCAAGGTCATTCAGGTAGGGCAAGACTGGACCCCGGGGCCATCTTGCTCTAAAGTTCTTAACCACTGGACTCTCCAGCTCTCATCGTGAGCTACAGATGTTTAGTTTAGTTTAGTTTAGTTTTATTTCATTTTACTTTATTTTGAGACAGGGTCTCTCTCTGTCATCCAGGCTGGAGTGCCGTGGCACAATCATGGTACGCTGCAGCCTTGACCTCCCTGGGCTCAGCTGATCCTCCCACCTCAGCCTCCCGAGTAGCTGGGACCACAGGTGCATGCTACCACACCCGGCTAATTTTTGCTTTTTTTTTTTTTTTTTTGAGATGGAGTTTTGCTCTTGTTTTCCAGGCTGGAGTGCAATGGCACTATCTTGGCTTACCGCAACCTTTACCTCCCAGCTTCAAGCAATTCTCCTGCCTCAGCCTCCCGAGTAGCTGGGATTATAGGCATGTGCCACCATGCCCATCTAATTTTGTATTTTTAGTAGAGACAGGGTTTCTCCATATTGGTCAGGGTGGTCTTGAACTTCTGACCCTCGGGTGATCTGCCTGCCTCAGCATCCCAAAGTGCTGGGATTACAGGTGTGAGCCACTGCGCCCGGCCATTTTTGCATTTTTTTGTATCGATGAGCTTTTGTCATCTTGCCTAGGCTGGTCTCAAACTGCTGGGCTTAATCGACCTGCCCACCTTGGCCTCCCAAAGTGCTGGGATTACAGGCGTAAGCCATGGTGCTGGCCCTAGATATTTGTTAAGTGGACGAATAAACTACCCTTTGGAAACCTGAAAGGTTTTGGATGCAGTGACAGAGGTGTTCCAATCTCAAGGTTTGGCTAAAAGCCATATGAACTTGGGGTGGGGAAGGATACACTGAATGGGGTCCACTCTCTCCCCAACTCTCCCTCCTCTGTCCTCAGAGGAGAATCTGATGCTTGTAATGCAGAATCTGGAGAATGTGTCAAAATGATAGTGACACTGACATTTACTGAGAGATTGCAGTGACCAGCCCCCAGTCTCAGAGCCCTTCCTAATTTCACGCCTTTACACCTTCTCAGGGATGTGGTGAGGTTAGAGACCATCATTATTCCCATTTCACTAATGAAAAAACTGAGGCACACAGTAGGCTGAGTCCACGCCTTCCAAACTATCTGCGATGAAGGAACTTCGAGAAAACATGTTCCAATCTGTCAGGAATGATATTTTTATAATACACACGGTCACAATGGGATGTAGGCAGTGTCAAGTTGCTATGAAAGTTACTAAATGCTTATTCTCAGTTCTAAGCGTGTCATGTTACAAACAGTGTGTGGCCCAGCACGGGTCCTTGGACCACGCACTGGGGTCAAGTCACAGAGTGTGACTGGTGGGGCCAGGATTTGGACCCAGAGGGTCTCGCTCCAGAGCATGGGCTCTGAACCACTCACCAGAGGGGCATGGATCATAAGGTGGGGTGGGGAAGGGTCTGCCCACTGTGTAGATTACATAACAAATATCCGAGGGAAAAGCGAGAGGACGCAGGCTGCTGTCAGGACTGTTCGGGAGCCTTGGGCATGTGCAAAACAACAGCTTGTCTACGGAGAGAACCGGAGCAAGGAAACGGGCCCTGGTGAGAACTATTGCTGTGGGGTTTGAATTAGGCCCCTTTGAGGTTCTTTGGGAGTCACAAGGACATTCAGAAAGTTAGTTTAAATTACTTGTGACTGTTGGATTATCAGGTCCCAGGAGGCAGAGACGGAGCTATGTGGAAGCCCAGCTTTTATCTGGGTTACACCGGCACCAATCTGGGTTTCCACACATCTCTTTCCACTCCCAAGTAAGTTACTTATGCTTATTTTATTACTTTTTATTTATTTATTTATTTATTTTTTTGAGACAGAGTCTCGCTGTGTCGCCCAGGCTGGAGTGCAGTGGTACGATCTCCGCTCACTGGAAGCTCGGCCTCCCAGGTTCACACCATTCTTTTGCCTCAGCCTCCCGAGTAGCTGGGACTACAGGCACCTGCCACCACGCCCCGGCTATTTTTTTTTTTTTTTTTTGTATTTTTAGTAGAGACGGGGTTTCACTGTGTTAGCCAGAATGGTCTCGATCTCCTGACCTCGTGATCCACCCGCCTTGGCCTTCCAAAGTGCTAGGATTACAGGCGTGAGCCATTGCACCCAGCCTTTTTTTTCTATTTTTTTTTTTTTGAGACAGAATCTCACTCTGTTGCTCAGGCTGGAGTACAGTGGCACAATATCAGCTCACTGCAACCTCTGCCTCCCAGGTTCAAGTGATCCTCCTGCCTCAGCCTCCTGAGTACCTGGGATTACAGGTGAGTGCCACCACACCCGGCTCATTTTTGTATTTTTAGTAAAGATGGGGTTTCGCCATGTTGGCCAGGCTGGTCTTGAACTCCTGGCCTCAGGTGATCTGCTCACCTTGGCCTCCCAAAATGCTGGGATTACAGGCGTGAGACACAGAGCCTGGCCTATTTTTTGTTTGTTTGTTTTGTTCTTTTGAGATAGGGTCTTACTCTCTCCCAGGCTGGAGTGCAATGGCATGACCTCGCTTCACTGCAGCCTCGACTTCCCAAGTTCAGGCAATCCTCCCACCTCAGCCTCCTGAGTAGCTGTGTACTCCTGAGTAGAGGCGCACATCACCACACCCAGCTAATTTTTTTGTATTGTTAGTAGAGACAAGGTCTCACCTTGTTGCTCAGGTTGGTCTCAAACTCCTGGGCTCAAGTGATCCACCCGCCTCAATCTCCCAAAGTGTTGGAATTACAGATGTGAGCCACTGCATCCAGTCTATTCCCAAAGAATTTAAAACACTACTAACTTGTGACCTCCTGAGGGTTCAATGAATACTCCTGGGGTTAGTGAAGAATGAAAAAACAGATAAGGGATCAGCCATAAAGTCATCCTTCCATGTCCACTGTGTGCAGGGCTAGAAGTGAATGCCAGATACAGAGGACTGAGAGGAGACCCAACTCCTCCAAATATCAAAGGGGGTCAGCCAAAGAGGATCATTGACGAGGGATGGGATTAAGAGTGATTGTATTGGCCAGGTGAGGTGGCTCACACCTGTAATCCCAGCACTTTGGGAGGCCGAGGGGGGCAGATCACCAGGTCAGGAGATCTAGACCATCCTGGCTAACATGGTGAAACCCCGTCTCTACTAAAAATACAAAAAAAATTAGCCGGGCATGGTGGTGGGCGCCTGTAGTCCCAGCTACTCAGGAGGCTGAGGCAGGAGAATGGGGTGAACATGGGAGGCGGAGCTTGCAGTGAGCCGAGATCATGCCACTGCACTCCAGCCTGGGTGACAGAGCAAGACTCCGTCTCAAAGAAAAAAAGAGTGACTGTATTAGGCCAGGTGCGGTGGCTCACGCCTGTAATCCCAACACTTTGGGAGGCTGAGGTGGGTGGATTGCTTGAGGCCAGGAGTTCGAGACCAGCCTGGGCATCATGGAAAAGCCCCATCTCTAAAAAAAAAAAAAGAATGAGTGGTTGTATTTTCTTCATTGGATTCATCTATATTTTCTACAATATCTACAATAGGCATACATTACTTATGTAATAAGAATGAGATTATTTTGGCAAAAATAAACAGTGGACAAGGTCAGGCTGCCTGGGTCTATTCCCTCCACTGGGTCAGGGTCTGTGACAGCCACAGTTGCCCCAGAATGGCTGGCAGGGTCAGCTCCTGCCTGGATGGCTGATGTCTCCTTCCAGCTCTCTGTCCAGTTTCCGGCGGGGACCAGGGGTGGAGAAAGGCAGGGTGCAGCCTCCGGACTGGCAGAGCCACAGCAGAGAGGTGCTGCTTCACGTCCCCCTGGGCCTCCGTGGCCCTGGCCCTGCACACAGCACAGCTGCCTCCTCCCTCTGACTTATTTCCTATCACCTGGCTCGCGGGTCCCTTGGGGCAGAGGGCAGGGTCCCCAGGGTTGCTCCTCGCTCTCCTCCCAGCTTCTGCCTCTCCTCTCTCTGGCTGCCTCAACGGCTGCTCAAGGTCAAGGAACAAACAGATAAACCCTTTCTCTGGAGCCAGCACGGAGAGGACGCCTCCAGCTAGAATCCAATTCTGAGTCAGGGCCAGGGCTCTCTCCTGTGAATCTGAGGACAGGAAGGAAATTTTTGCAGCCATAAATCGGTAAAAATGTTTTGTAGGCAGAGAAGAGGCCAAGCAGTTGGCTCTGGTTTAAGGCACAAATAGCAAATGAGAGCAGTCAGACCCAGGGAGGGAGGGCCTGGGGGGTAAACTCTAATATTCAGGCAGCCAAAGCAAGATTTTCTTTTGCCTGAGGGCCAATCAGGTGTTGGACGTGGTGTGGGTGACGTGGACTTGGTCCCGGGCTCACCGGGATGGGATGATATGGGGGTCTGACCAGGCAGTTGAAGACTTGGGACTCTTCTAGGCTATTAGCCAAGATGGCCCAGGGGCTGGAGCCAGGACTGTGGATTCAGCGATGCAGTGTGGACAGCAATGAACTTGATGGCCCTCGTGTCTTAGAGCGATGAACCTGGAGCCCAGAGAAGTGGAGATGGGCTGGCCTGGGAAGGGCCATTCAGGCCGTGGCGGGGATTCAGGACTTTATCCAGAGGGCAGCAGGAAGCATGACAGTGGAGAGTGGCAGGGCCCAGCTTATGTGTTAGGAAGACCCCTCTGACTGCACTGTGTGTGTGGCCTGGAGGCAGGAAGGGCAGTGAGAAGGCGGCTGCCATGCCCACCCATGTTGGTGACCAGGTAGGGCGAGGATAGTGGAGAGTCCAGGTGTGCTGCGGGCAGAATCGTTAGGTCCTGCTGACTGGATATGGTGGGGTGTTGGGGAGACAGGAAGGGGCTAACGCCGACACCCAGGAGCCCCAAGAGGAAGAAGAGGAGGAGGAAGTTTTACGGGGAGGTTTCATATTTTTTGTATGTTTTTGTTTGTTGGTTTGTTTTTATGGAGAGACAGGTTCTCACTTTGTTTCCCAGGCTTGTCTCAAACTCCTGGCCTCAAGAAATCCTCCCACCTTAGCCTCCCAAAGTGCTGAGGTTACAGAGATGAGTTACTGTGCCTGGCCACCTGTATTTTTTCATCTCTTGAATATTTGGGGGTATCTGGCCGAGTCCATGGAGCAGGACACCAAGAAGGATAAGGCACAGCCCTGCCCAAAGCTGGAATCCACACACAGCAACAAAAAGCCTGCAGGGGTGGAACTGTAGGCTTTAACTATGAGCATATTGGGAGTTCAAAGGATTAGGGAGCCTGGAGGGATGTGGGTGACAGGCCTATTTGGAAGGGTCAGTGGTAAACAGCTGGAGGACAAGGACCTGGCTTCCGTACCTTCCACGTTCCCTCTTCGCGTGGCCCTGCTCTGTGCCGGGCAGGTTGTCCCAGCTCCACAGCCTGACCTTGCTGCCCACTCCAGCCTCAGTAGCTTCTCCTGTGCTCTGGTGGGCCTCCCCCTCTGAAGTGACTGCCAGAATGTGACTGGATGGTCCTCAAGAGGCCTCTTGCCTCTTGTCCTCTGTTGGGAATACCTTCCCTTCCCCGCTAGCCCAGGTGTCTCCAACTCATTCTCCTGTCTCAGTGTAGGTTTCTTCCTCCTAGAAGCCTTTCCTAGCCCCGAAACTGGGCTGGGTGCACCTCTCCTATGCTGAAGAAATGTTCTTTGGATGGAAGGATGAATGGATGGAGGGATGGGGGATGGAGGGATGGAGGGATGGAGGGATGGGGATGGTGGAGGGATAGAGGGATGGGAATGGTGGATGGAGGGATGGGGGATGGGAGGATGGGGGATGGAGGGATTGGGGATGGAGGATGGAGGGACAGGGGATGGAGGGGTGGAGGGGTGAAGGAGGGGAGATAGAGGATAGAGGGATTGAGGGATGGAGTGGAGGGATGGGGGATGGAGGGATGGAGTATGGAGGGATGGGGGATGATGAGATGGGGGATGGCGAATGGAGGGGTGGGAGGATGGAGGAATGGCAGATGGAGGGATGGGGGATTGAAAGATGGGGGATTGAAAGATGGAGGGATGGGGAATGGAGGATGGGGGATGGAGGGATGGGGATGGGAAGATGAAGGGATGGGAGATGGGGGATGGGGGATGGAGGAATTAGAGGATGGCAGATGGAGGGATGGGGGATGGGAAGATAGGGAATGGAGGGATGGGGGATGAGAGGATGGAGGGGTGGGGGATGGGAGGATGGAGGGATGGGGGATGGAAGGAGGGGGAGGGGGATGGGAGATAGAGGGATGGAGGGATCAGGGTATGGAAGGATGGGGGATGAGAGATGGGGGATGGAGGGATGGGGGATAGGGATAGGGGGATGGGGGATGGAGGATGGGAGATGGAGGGATGGGGATGCAAGGTGAATGGATGAATTAATGAATGAATAGACGGGGGGTGACTGGAGATCTAGATAGGCAGATGATGGATGGAAGGGCACACAGGCAGGTTGGGCAGGTGGAAGGGCAGGGGAGGAGTGGGCTGGACAGAGGAAAGGGCAGGTGGTGGGTGGTGGAGGCGGTGGGTGGCAGAGGCAGTGGGTGGCGGAGGTGGAGGCAGTGGATGGAGGTGGTGGGTGTTAGAAATGGTGGGTGGTGGAGGTGGCGGGTGGAGATGGCGGGTGGAGGTGGAGGTGGTGGGTGGAGATGGCGGGTGGTGGAGGTGGCGGGTGGCGGGTGGCAGAGGTGGTGGGTGGAGGTGGTGAGTGGAGGTGGCGGGTGGTGGAGGCGGTGGGTGGAGGTGGTGGGTGGAGGTGGTGGGTGGAGGTGGTGGGTGGCAGGGTGGATGCATGGAAAGGAGACAAGGTTGGCTCAGGCAGGCCGAGGTGTGCCCTATCTCTACATTCCCCGCAATGTGGATGGGCGGAATGAGTAGGAATCTTCCTCTCCTGACTCCTCCTCAGACCTCTCAGCTTCCTCAGAGTACACCCTACACTGAAAGGGACCCACTGGGCACTGCAGAGATGTAACTGGCACCAGGAACCTCCCTCCATCTTACCCCTGTCCCACAACTCTTCACCTGTGGGTGCCTTTTTGCCAACTGGTCTGATTACTGGCGAGAACCTGGTGTTTGGGGATGAAAGAAGTTCAAGTCTCTACAAGTCCATTTTCTTCCTGCTTCCTTTCTCGCCTTCTGCCTCCTCCTTCTCCTCCTCCCATGTCTTTCCAGCAAAGCACAGGATACCCAGATGGCTTGGGCCAGACTGAAGGCACAGCCGTAGCCAGCAACCAGCCACCTGAGCCCTGCTGCCTTGGGCCCCAGTCGGCCCAGCCAGTGCGGGTCTCTGCTGCCTGGTGCCCACCCCACCCACCCACCCAGCAGCTCCCATTTTCAGCTGCCAGGATCTTCAGAGCCGATTTGATCAGCTGCCAGATCTCCCAATTGTCAGCTGCAACGTTAACCTCTTTAAGAGAGCACCCGAGGCGATCTTTAAGCTAGGAGGCTGGAGCCCCATGCTAATGGAGCCTGCTCCGAGCTCACAGCTCTGCCTCCTGCCTCCCCAGCCTTGGTTCTGGGAGCCTGTGGCCCCCACTCTTCAGGCTGGACAGCAGCAGGACTATTTTTTGAGCCTGGGTGAAGCAGGGCTTTGCCAGCTGAGATCAGTCCCTACAGCAGCCCCCACCAGGGAGCCCCAAGAAGGAGGGGAGGGGCCTAACCCAGAGAGGGAGTGGATAAGTATTTGTTAACTGAATGGCTGCATGAACCTCCAAAGCTGCCTAAGAGGCGAGTGCTGACGGCGCTTTCTGCCCTGCCGTCACCTTCAGGGGGAGATGCTCAGGGTAGGGACATGGGCAAAGGTGCCAAACTCTGGAGTCAGACCAAGGTGCCTGGGCTGGTGTCCCAGATCTAGCATGTGAAAGCTGTGTGACCTTGGAGAAGTTGCTGGCCGTCTCTGAGCCTCGGCTTTCCCATCAGTGAAACATGTGTGCTAGGGGAGAGAATACCAGCTGCGTAGAGTTGTTGGGGAATCCAGTGAGATGAAGAGATGGGAACACCTGCTACCTTGCAGATACATAGTAGGTACTCAAGGAAGTCAGTCCCTTCCTCTTCTCCCCTCCCTTCCCTCTCCCCTCCACCTTCCTTCTCCTCCCCCACTTCCCTCTCCCCACCCAGGGCTTTCTATTCCCTGTCACTGAAGGGTTGAAGGGCTGTCACCTTGTCTAAAGCCTCCATGTTTTCCCTTCCAACCCTCAGAAGGACAGGGGCGATTATTCTTACTTCTCCGTTGTCCAGGGCCACACAGCAGGCCGGAAGCAGATGCGGAGGCCGCCCAGTTCCAGCCCAGCTTGTCCTGCTAGTGCCTGGTCCCAGGACTGGCTCAGATGCCCATGGCATTCTCCCCTGTGCCCTGATAATCGATGTCCCTTTGCAGGTTGGTGAGGCTCTGAGAGTGGGCTAGTGGCTTGTTTTTCCACATTTTTGAGGCCTCTCTCGGGACTGAAATACCCAGGTGGAGAAGTGAAGTGACTCGGGAAAGGAAGGAAAAGAACCCAGAGTCCAATTCCCACCCAAGTGGAGGTGAGGCGGGAAGAGGGGAGCTGAACTCCTTATGTGGGAGTTGCAGCCTTGGTGGGACCTGTCAGAACTGGTGTGCTAAGCCAGGGGTGGGAGTTGGTGACTTCCACAGGGACAGCATCAGCAGCCAGCTCACAGAAGCATATGTTTCAGAACCAAAAGGTGTAGAGCAAGGCTCAGAATAGAAATAAAATGAATGGATGGTGTACCATCACACACAGTGTACCTGTTTGTGTGCGTGTGGACAGTGTGCACCGGCGTGACACTGTGTCTAGTGTGTGTGTGCACAGTGTACCTGTGCGTGTGCGTGTGGACAGTGTGCACCGGTGTGACACTGTGTCTAGTTTGTGTGCACATGTGCACACGCGTCTAGACTGCCTGAGTCCAGCCATGCGTCCTTCCCCATGGGTAAGGAGGAGGAAGCCAGGGGACAGATCCTGGCATGGGGACAGAGTCGCTGGCTGTTGAGATGTGCCAAGTCCGCCAGCCTGGAGGCCAAGGTCCTAGCCCTGGCCCTTTCCTGCTGTGGGGCCCTGGCCCTGGCCCTTTCTTCTCTGTGCCTCCATGGACGACAGGTTACATGAAACTCCCCGGAGCAGAGTGCACCTGAGGAAAACTGCGGTTTCCCTGCCAGCCCAGAGGTTCATTCTGCCGATGGGGGGTGGGGGTGGGGGGGCAGGAATGCCAGGAATGGGCATTTAGCAAATCCTCCTCCTTCCCCATGCAATTTTTGTCATGCTCCTGGGAGCTGTGACACTTGGGGACCTGGCCCCTCTGAGCCTGTTTTCCCACCCACCAGGTGGGGATAAAAACAGGACTGCCCCAGGAGGTCACTGTTAGTCAATGAGCTGGGGCTCCAGGAAGGCCTGAAGCACAGTAGGTGCTTCATCCCCAGGCACTGGGGTTGCTCCTGCTGTGCCCAGGGGTGGCGAGGCTGCCAAAGATGCGGGAAGGGTCTGCAACCAGAGTAGGGTGGGCGGGGCTCTGGGGCCTCCGGATGGCAGGGACCCTTTTCCAACACAAGCTGCACCTGGGCGGGGATGCATAGCTGGGTACCTACAGGGAAGGTGTGAGGTCGTGAGGCCCAGAGCCACCCTCCTCCCCTGAGAACGTGGTCTCAGCCTCGCCGCAGTGTGTGTGAAGCACCCCCTGCTCCTTCCAGGAACTGGAGGTCCTCCCACCCCATTGCTTGCTCCTTGGTCTGAGCATCACAAGAGAGAGATGATGTGGTTTGGGCAGGGACTCCTACACAGAAGAAGAAAAGAAATCCAGAGATGTTGCTCCCTCTGACCAAGGTCACAAGCGAGTCCAGGCTGAGGCGAGGCAGGGCTTTTTGACTCTGCCACCCAGTGGGACCCAAATCCATGGGGAGCTGTGTGGTCTCGGGCGGGACAAGTCAGCCAGAAGCAACTTGGAGAAAATTGACTCTTCAATCATTTATTTATTCAACAATTATTCATTGGGAGGCCGAGGTGGGTGGATCACTGGAGGTCAGGAGCTCAAAAACCAGCCTGGCCAACGTGGTGAAACCCCGTCTCTACTAAAAATACAAAAATTAGCTGGGCGTGGTGGTGTGCACCTATACTGCCAGCTACTCAGGAGGCTGAGGCAGGAGAATCGCTTGAACCCAGGAGGCAGAGGCTGCAGTGAGGTGAGATCACGTCACTGCACTCCAGCCTGTGTGACAGAGTGAGACTCCGTCTCAAAAAAGAAAAAAATATATATGTATATGTATATATATGTATGTATATATATGTGTGTATATGTATATATGTATATATGTGTGTGTATATATATATATATAGGGCCTGTTGTGAGGCAGTAAAACCCAGGAGGCCAGAAGGTAGACACTAAGGAAGGGGCTAAAAATCCAGGCGTGGGCAGGACAAGCACTCCCTGCGGTTGTTCCCTGGGTCGCAGTTTTGTGTTTTGTTTTGTTTTTGTGAGATGGGGTCTCACTCTGTCTCCCAGGCTGGAGTGCAGTGACGCAATCACAGTTCATGGCAGCCTTGACCTCCCCAGGCTCAGGTGATTCTCCTACCTCAGCCTCCTCAGTAGCTGGGACTACAGGCATGTGCCAGCACACCCAGCTAATTTTTGTATTTTTCATAGAGATGGGGTTTTGCCATGTTGCCCAGGCTTGTCTCAAACTCCTAGGCGAAAGCAATCGGCTCTTGTCAGCCTCCCAAAGTGCTGGGATTACAGGTGTGAGCCACGGTGCCTGGCTTCCCTGGATCACTGGATAAGACACCTAAGTGTTTTTGTGACTTAACTTGCTTATCTGTAAAGTGGGGGTAAGAACAGTCCCAGGGGCTGGTGAGGGTTGTCACGCACATGGCATGGGGCCTGGCACAGGAAAAATGCTGGATGGAAGAGGCTGGTAGTGCTGTGCTATCAACAATGAGGACACATTTGCAGGTTTCCACAGTACGAGTCGCAGTGTGGGACAGGAAAGGGTATCAGATGAAGAGGAGGGCATCCAGAGGGAGGAGGGATCGAGTCCTTCTAGGGAGGTTGAGGGGCACCTGAGCAGGGCATTGAGGGCTGTATAGGAGTTCATCATACTAAGAACTGGGAGAAGCTCAGCTACTGGAAATTCCCAAAAGGGCTTGAAGGAACTGGTGCCAGCCTTGCTGGGACTGCAAGAGCCCCGGAGGGTCAGAGGGGAAGCCACTCTAAGAGTCCCTACTGCAGTCCTCTGAAGGACTTCCTGTGGCAGATGGGCCTCTGCTCTCTTCTCTGACTGTTTTCCACTCTCTGGGGGAAAGGGGGTGAACCACCCCGACATTCGGCTGGAACTACTGAGGCAGACCCCAGAAAGGGCAAGTCTGCTACCTTGTGTAGCTCAGCATCCTGATGCCTGGAGGTCCCCCCATTCAGTCACCAGGGGACAGAACAGTGTGTGGGCTGAAGCCAGGCAAACAGGGTTCAAAACCCAGCTGTGCTACCTGCAATCTATGGGGCCCTGGGCAACCTTCATCTCTCCTTGCCTCCCTGTTCTCATCTGTAAAATGGGAAGAATGATTCTATCTGCTTCATAGGACCAGAGTAGGGATTCCATGGATTCATGCCTGACATAAAGAGCTCAGCCCAGCATCCCTGGCACATAGTAAGTGCTCAATAAATGCTAGCCCCTTCCCAGCATCGACTGAACTCCTGTCCTGAGCTGGCTGTGGAGACCCCATACAAGATAAAGAGAAGAGGCTTGTTGTATTTGGGGCTAAGGCTCTGTTCACTTTCTGATCAACAATGTGTATTCTTACTGTTGCATCAACAGTATTAAACAAAAAAGAAAAAAATTAAAATAATGTGTATTCCATCTCCTGTCAAACTGGGCTCCCCACACCTCTGGCCTCCTCACCCTGCCTCTCTGCTGGGCCCAGGGCCCCCTTCCTGCATCCAGGGAGCTCACTCTAGGAGGGTCCTGGCCACACCGCATCTTCTCAGTCTTTGAGCTTGGAAGGCCTTAGGGAATGTGAAGTCCAGCCCCTCCGCAAGTACCCACGTATGGAACTGGGGCTCGGGAGTAAAGACACTCACCAGAGGCTGAGACTTGAAGTCCAGTGCCCCTGCCCAGGTCCTTAGATCACTACTGCTGTGGGAATTTTGAGAGGAGCCCCTTGGCGTAGGATAAGCTGCTGTCCCTTGGGCTGGAGCTCCATGAGGGCAGGGACGATGGCTCTCTTGCTTACTTTGTGGTCCCTGGGCCCAGCACAAAGCCTGGAACCTGCGAATGAAAAAGTGAATGAGCGAATGAATGAATGTGGCCAGAATCCATCTGCCTCCCAGAGCAGGATCCCAAGAGAAGCCCACTTTGGTCCCAGCCCCTGTGGGGTCACCAGCCCCAGCCCAGCAGACGGGGTTGCCAATGGCTTAGAGGCTTCCAAGAGTCTTCTGACAAAAGGATCAAAGGAAGCAGATGACAGAAGGGCAGGAAATGGCTGAACGGTGGGGTGGGGGTGCCGAGCCCCCTGCCCAGGCCAGGATGAAAGAGGTTCAGGAAAAGGACAGAGACAGATCAGCCAGTGCAGGGGTGGGGGTGACAGGATGTGGGTAGAGGGCTCAGCCACTTCCCTTGGCACAGAGGATAAACTGATGGCTTCCTCTCAGCCCAGGACTCTCCTTTCTGCTTCCAACCACAGCACCTAGTCCTGGGCCCGGCCCCTGGAGGGCACTTGGAAAACGTTTGTGGATTCACTGTGCATGAATGAATGAATGAATGATTCGGTGGCTCATGACAAATGCCAGCACTTTGGGAGGATTGCCTGAGGCCAGGATTTCAAGGCCAGCCTGGGCAACATAGCAAGACCCCTGTCTCTACAAAACATTTTTTTTTGAAGTTTTATTTCATTTTATTTTTATTTTATTTATTTTTATTATTATTATTATACTTTAAGTTTTAGGGTACATGTGCATAATGTGCAGGTTTGTTACATATGTATACATGTGCCATGCTGGTGTGCTGCACCCATTAATTCATCATTTAGCATTAGGTATATCTCCTAATGCTATCCCTTCCCCCTCCCCCCACCCCACAACAGTCCCCAGAGTGTGATGTTCCCCTTCCTGTGTCCATGTGTTCTCATTGTTCAATTCCCATCTACGAGTGAGAACATGGTGGTGTTTGGTTTTTTGTCCTTGCGATTCTACAAAACATTTAAAAACTATATTAGCTTGGCTGGGCACAGTGGCTCATGCCTGTAATCCCAGCACTTTGGGAGGCCGAGGTGGGTGGATCACCTGAGGTCGGAAGTTCGAGACCAGCCTGACCAACATGGTGAAGCCCTGTCTCTACTAAATACAAAAAATTAGCTGGGTATGGTGGCAAATGCCTGTAATCCCAGCTACTTAGGAGGCTGAAGCAAAAGAACTGATGAACCTGAGAGGCGGAGCTTGCAATGAGCTGGATCACACCATTGCACTCTAGCCTGGGTGACAGAGTAAAATTCTGTCTCAAAAAAAGAAAGGAAGGAAGAGAGGGAGGAAGGGAGGAAGTGAAGAAGGAAAGAGAAAGAACTTTTATCAGCCATTCCTTACCTTTCCAGTAGTCAGTTAGTGTGGGTCAGTCCAGTGGATTTTGACATGAAAGGACAGAGCAAACTCCTGTTGTAGTTTCAGGGAGCCCATTAACAATAACAATTGGCCAAATAAGACTCTTACTACAGCCAGTGGCTATTGAACAATCGCTAGATGCCAGGTGCTCAAAATATCTCTGTGTCATAGCCCCATTATCTCAATGACTCCTTGCCATACTCTAAGAGGGCAGTGCTAGCCCCATTTTACAGATGAGGCAACTGAGGCTAAGAGAAGAAGGATGCTGCTCTAGATCACCCAGAAAGTAAATGACGGAGGTGGAGAGTGAAATTCCTCTAGCCCTGCGTAAATGAATGAATGGCTAGGTGAATGAACGACCCATTCTACAGCATTCACGGTGATTCCCTGCCACACCACGCCCTTCACTGGGCCCGAGTTCTATGGCAACAAATGAAATAATCACAGTCCCTGCTGTCACGAGATTCCTTGCCTGGAGGGCAGCACTCCACCCAAATAATGAATTCATCATGATTTTGGAAAGTGCTAGAAAGGAGAAAGCCAGAGTGCGTAGGGCGTGCAGGGGACCTGCCCAGTCTTAGGGGCTCAGAACAGGCCTAGAGTGCCAACTGCTGGATGGGAGGATGTTGCCTGCTGGGAGGTGTGCGCAGGAGGCAGAACGTCAAGATCTGTGGCATGGATTAGAAAAGCAATAATCTGCTGGGCGTGGTGGCTCACGCCTGTAATCCCAGCACTTTGGGAGGCCGAGGAAGACGGATCAGGAGGTCAGGAGATTGAGACCATCCTGGCTAACACAGTGAAACTCCGTCTCTACTAAAAAAAATACAAAAAAATAGCCAGGTGTGGGGGCGGGTGCCTGTAGTCCCAGCTATGCAGGAGGCTGAGGCAGGAGAATGGCGTGAACCTGGGAGGCGGAGCTTGCAGTGAGCGGAGATGCGCCACTGCACTCCAGCCTGGGTGACAGAGCGGGACTCCTTCTCAAAAAAAAAAAAAAAAGCAATAGTCGTAGTCGTCATTGGAGCAGGCACTGTCCTTTGAGCCATTTCTCCCCACAAGCACCTTACATAGGTTATTTTATAAATCTTTACAATAAGATGGAGACATGGTTCCCCATATCATTCCCACTATAACTGGAGAGATGGAGACTCACACAGCTGCTAAGAGGAAGAGCCAGGGTCTAGGTCTGTCTGATCTGGGGTCTCAGCTCCTGATCCTGAACCCAGTGTCTACAGGGCAGAGAGACCCTCCCGCTCAGCTCCTGGGTGAGCTGGCCCTGCTGGGACTCAGTGTGCACTGGAGGTCATGCTTCTCCTTCCTGTCACCCACCAGTTTTCCTTGGGCTGGGGGAGCTTCAGGTGCTGCGAGGAAAATTTAGAGAGGGAACATTTCTGAGCTTAAATTGGCTGGCACTGCCTTAGGAAGGGTTATGCAGGATTTTCAGGTGGACCACGAGCAAATGATTACACGGCCCCATGTGCTTTCGCAGGAGGAGTCAACCTGGAAGAACTGATTGTTTCTGGGCCCTAAATGCCAAGTGGTTTCCCTGGTAGGAGCTTACTTCCAGTTTGTATGCCCAGGATTCAAAGATAACCACGGGGCTGGGCAAGGTGGCTCATGCCTGTAATCCTAGCACTTTGGGAGGCCAAGGCAGATTGCTTGAGCCCAGGAGTTCAAGACCAGACTGGGCAACATACTTGAGACCCTGTCATCATCTTTTTTTTTTTTTTTTTTTTTTTTTTTTTTTTTTTTTTTTTTTTTTTGAGACGGAGTTTCACTCTTGTGCCCAGGCTGGAGTGTAGTGGCACTATCTCAGCTCACTGCAACCTCCATCTCCCGGGTTCAAGCGATTCTCCCGCCTCAGCCTCCTGAGTAGCTGGGATTACGGGCATGTGCCACCATGCCTGGCTAATTTTTATATTTTTACATATGGTTTCACCGTGTTGGCCAAGCTGGTCTTGAACTCTTGACCTCAAGTGATCTGCCTGCCTCGGCCTCCCAAAGTGCTGGGATTACAGGTGTGAGCCACCGTGCCTGGCCACAGTTTAAAACACAAACTACTTTTCTGTACTTCTCCTCATCCCTCACTGCACATCTACTTAGACACTTGCTCCTGGGCCCCAGAAATACCTTCCCAGGCCTGTTTCAGAGTCTGCAGTGTTCCGCCTCCAGTTCTCCAGGTCATCCTTCTAAGGCTGGCTCAGATGCCAGCTCCTATTTTTTCTCACCAGAAAGAACCTCTCCCTTCTCCCTGCCGCGACAGAAGCTATCACTGCATTTGCACGCAAGGGCCTGAACTGGATGGAGTCCTGGCTGTCAGGCTTTAGGCAAACTGCGACTCTCTGGAAACCAATCCTCCGCATTGTTCCATAAGCACAGTGTCATGGGCCCCACCCCCAGAACATGTAGAGTGATACTTGGGTAAAGTGATCTGCAGCAGTGGCCAGGCGTGGTGGCTCACGCCTGTAATCTCAACATTCTGGGAGGCCAAAGCAGGCAGATTGCTTGAGCCCAGGAGTTCAAGACCAGCCTGGGCAACATAGTGAGACCCCTATCTCTACAAAAAATAAAAATAAAAAAAAATTGTTTTCATTATTCTGGCATGGTGGTACACACCTGCAGTCCAGCTACTTGAGAGGCTGAGGCGGGAGGATTGCTTGAGCCAAGGAGGTTGAGGCTGCAGTGAGCATGGATAACCACTGCACTCCAGCCTGGGTGACAGAGTGACAGCCTGTCTCAAAACACAAACAAAAAAAAAGTAACCTGTGGTGTGTGGGGTGCCGCTCGATTCCCACTGCTTGATGGCAATAATAATAGCAGCCCCGTGGACAGCCCCTCTGCTAAGGGAGTCTTACAGCTCCAAAGGACGGGAAAATGGAGTTATCCTTTTTCTGTTATAGGTGAAGAAGTTGAGGTTTAAGGAGGTGAAATTACAAGTCTGGGACTTCTTACTAATTTTTTTCCTAAGATAAAATTTTAATTTTTTTATTTTAATGAACATAATTGTATATGTTTATGGGGCAGAGTGTGATGTTTTGATCTGTGAATACATTCTGGAATGATAATATCAAGCTAATTAACATATCAATAACATCACAAGTGTATCATTTTTCTGTAGTGAGAACATTTGAAATCTACTTTTTGCTGGGTGCTGTGGCTTACACTTGTAATCCCAGCACTTTGGGAGGCTGAGGCGGGAAGATCACCTGAGGTCAGCAGTTTGAGACCAGCCTGGCCAACATGGTGAAAACCCATCTCTACTAAAAATATAAAAATTATCGGGGCATGACGGTGTGCACCTGTAGTCCCCAGCTACTCAGGAGGCTGAGGCAGGAGAATTGCTTGGACTTGGGAGGTGGAGGTTGCAGTGAGCTGAGATTGCACCACTGCACTCCAGCCTGGACAACAGAGCTACACTCCATCTCAAAAAAAGCAAAAAGAAGGCCAGGCACGGTGGCTTACGCCTGTAATCCCAGCACTTTGGGAGGCCGAGGCGGGTGGATCATGAAGTCAGGAGATCAAGACCATCCTGGCTAACACGGTGAAACCCCGTCTCTATTAAAAATACAAAAAAATTAGACGGGTGTTGTGGCGGGCGCCTGTAGTCCCAGCTACTCGGGAGGCTGAGGCAGGAGAATGGCGTGAACCCGAGAGGCGGAGCTTGCGGTGAGCCAAGATCGCACCACTACACTGCAGCCTGGGCGACAGAGCAAGACTCCGTCTCAAAAAACAAGCAAACAAAAAAAGAAAAATGTCGGATATGATCTGCATTTCTGAAAAAGGAACAGATCAGCAGGCTGATGAATAAGATCTAAGAGTCTATGAATAAGATCTACAGAAATAAGATGCCAAATGATTCCTAAGACCTCTTTGTGATATTTAAAAAATTCAGTAAAATATGTCTCTCTGAGTTGACCAAAAGGTACAACATTTCAGTTATATGGGAGGAGTGGGTTTTTGAGATGTATTGCACAGCAAGATTATTATTCATTAGGAATGATAGTTACTAATAATGTATATTTCAAAATTACTTCAAAAGTGTATTTTGGCCTGGACTGGTGGCTCACGCCTGAATCCCAGCTCTTTGAGAGGCTGAGGAGGGCAGATCACTTGAGGCCAGGAGTATGAGACCAGCCTGGCCAACATGACAAAGCCCTGTCTCTATAAAATATACAAAAGATAGGGCTGGGCACGGTGGTTCAAGCATGTAATCCCAGCACTTTGGGAGGCAGAGGTGGGCATACCATGAAGTCAGGAGTTCAAGACCAACCTGACCAACATGGTGAAACCTGATCTCTACTAAAAATACAAAAAAATTAGCTGGGCATAGTGGCACACACCTGTAATCCCAGCTACTCAGGAGGCTGAGGCAGGAGGATCGCTTGAACCAGGGAGGCAGAGGTTGCAGTGAGCCAAGATCTCGCCATTGCACTCCAGCCTGGGTGACAGAGCAACACTCCGTCTCAGAAGAAAAAAAAAAATAATACAAATTTGGCCAGTTGTGGTGGTGGATGTCTGTAGTCCCAGCTAGTTGGGAGGCTGAGGTGAGCGGATCACTTGAGCCTGGGAAGTTGAGGCTGCAGTGAGCTGTCATCGTGCCACTGCACTCCAACCTGGGCAACAAAGCAAGACTCTGTCTCCAAAAAAAGTACATTTTATTTTATTTTTTATTTTGAATTTTGCATTGTTTTGAGATGGTGTCTTCCTCTGTCGCCCAGGCTGGAGTGCAATGGCATGATCTTGGTCACTGCAAACTCCGCCTGATGGGTTCAAGTGATTCCCCTGCCTCAGCCTCTCGAGTAGCTGGGATTACAGGTGCGCACCACCACACCTGGCCAGCTATCCAACATTTTTCTGATATCCTTGATTTTAGCTGTTGTGTTTTGCTGAATCAAAGCATCTGAATTTGGTAAACATTTGTAAATCAAAGAAAATTCCTGAGGTGTGTCTCAGTAATTTTTAGAGGTTATTTTGCCAATGTTGAGGATGCAGGCCAAAGAAAAAAGGAATGAAAATCACAGGAAACATTTGTGATGCATGCTTTTTTTCCAAAGAGGGTCTGGGGACTTCAATATTTAAAGGGAAAAAGAGGCCAGGTGCCATGGCTCACGCCCGTAATCCCAGCACATTGGGAGGTGGCAGCGGGCGGATCACCTGAGGTCAGGAGTTCGAGGCCAACCTGGCCAATAAGGTGAAACCCCGTCTTGGGCTCATACCTGTAATCCCAGCACTTTGGGAGGCCAAGGCGGGCGGATCACAAGGTCAGGAGATCGAGACCACCCTGGCTAACACGGTGAAACCCTGTCTCTACTAAAAAAAAAATACAAAAAATTAGCCGGGTGTGGTGGCAGGTGCCTATAGTCCCAGCTACTCGGGAGGCAGAGGCAGGAGAATGGCATGAACCTGGGAGGCGGAGCTTGCAGTGAGCCAAGATGGCTCAAAAAAAAAAAAAAAAAAAATTTTCCTTAGTGCCTTTGAAGCCCCAAATATGGCTGCTTTTCCATTTGATGAGAACTTTAATTTGTTCTCTGATTCCAATTAATATTTTTTTCTCATTATCTTTCTCTGCATGGTTTTGCATCCCTTTGATTTTTTACCACTGTTCTAGTGCAGATCTTTAGATCTCTTCCTAAAAGTCTTTAAGTCTTCACATGATCTCTCGTCTCATTTCTTTTTTTCTAAAACTATGCCTGTTTCCTTTTCCCTCCTCAACTCAGACTGTTTTCCTTTCTGTTTTTCTACTCTGAATAATCTTCTTGATAGTTTTGTGGGTGTGTGTGTGTGCCTGCCACCACGCCAGGCTATTTTTTTTTTTTTGTATTTTTAGTAGAGACGGGGTTTCACCGTGTTAGCCAGGATTGTCTTGATCTCCGGACCTCATGATCCGCCCGCCTTGGCCTTCCAATGTTTAATAAATTATTAAATATTAGTCCCTGAAACATTTTGACTTAGTCAATCTGTGCATTCCTGCAGATATAAGAAGCTTTTAGAAATTACAGAAAAAGGCCAGGTGTGGTGCCTCATGCCTGTAATCCCAGCACTTTGGGAGGCCGAGGTGGGTGGATCACGAGGTCAGGAGATCGAGACCATCTTGGCTAACACGGTGAAATACCATGTTACTAAATACCGTCTCTACTAAAAATACAAAAAATTAGAAGGGCGTTCTGGCGGGCGCCTGTAGTCCCAGCTACTCGAGAGGCTGAGGCAGGAGAATGGCTTGAACCTGGGAGGCAGAGCTTGCGGTGAGCCGAGATCGCGCCACTGCACTCCAGCCTGGGCACCCAGACAGAGCGAGACTCCGTCTCAAAAAAAAAAAAAAAAAAAAAAAAAGACCAGCCTGGCCAAGATGGTGAAAACCCGTCTCTACTAAAATTACAAAAATTAGCTGGACATGGTGGAACGTGCCTGTAATCCCAGCTACTCGGGAAGCTGAGGCAGGAGAATCACTTGAACCCAGGAAGCGGAGGTTGCTGTGAGTCGAAATGGCCACTACGCTCCAGCCTGGCGATGAGCAAGACTCCCTCTCAAAAAAAAAAAAAAAAAGAAAAAAAGAAAAAAACTGGACACCTATTTTTCACCATATACAAAAATTTACGCAGGTTGGATTAAAGATTTAAATTTAAGACCTCAAACTACAATAATCCTGGAAGAAAAACTTCAGAAGTACCATTCTTGACATGGCCTATGGGAAATAATTCATGACTAAGTCTTTAAAAGAAATTGCAACAAAACCTGGCAAGTGAGACCTAGTTAAACTAAAGAGCTGCCACACAGCAAAGGAGACCATCAGCAGAGTAAGCAGACAACCTACAGGATGGGGGGAATTATTCACAAACTATGCGTACAACAAAGGTCTAATATCCAGAATCTATAAGGAACTTAATTCCACAAGCAAAAAACAGCCCCATTTAAAAAGGGGCAAATAAACACTTCTCAAAAGAAGACATACATGCAGCCAACAAACGTGAAAAAATGCTCATCATCACTAATCATGAGAGAAATGCAAATCAAAACCACAATGAGATATTATCTCACACCAGTCAGAAAGACTATTTTTTTAAAAGTAAAAAAAAATAGCAGATACTGGCAAGGATAAGGAGAAAACGAAATGCTTATACACTGTTGGTGGGAATGTAAGTTAGTTCAGCCACTGTGGAAAGCAGTTTGGAGATTTCTCAAAGAACATAAAACAGAACTAACATTCAGCCCAGCAATCCCATTACTGAGTATGTATCCAAAAGAAAACAAATCATTCCACCAAAAAGACATACGCACTCGTATGTTTATTGCAACACTATTCACGATAGCAAAGACATGGGATCAACCTAGGTGCCCGTCAACAGTGGACTGGATAAAAATGTGGTACATATAGACCATGGAATACTATGCAGCTACAAAAGAATGAAATTATGTTCTTTGCGGGAAAATGGCTAGAGCTAGAAGCCACTAAGTGAACTAATGTAACAGAAAACAAACGCCTCATGTTCTTATAAGTAGGTGCTAAACGCTGAGTACCCATGGACATGAAGATGGTGACAATAGACACTAGGACTGCTAAGAGAGGGAGGGAGGAAGGAAAAGGTTGAAAAACTGCTGAGTACCATGTTCAGTACCTGGGTGTTGAGATCATTCATACCCCAAACCTCAGCACCACACAATATACCCAGGTAACTAACCTGCACGTGTACACCCTGAATCTAACATAAAAGTTGAAAAAGAAAAAAAAGAATGGAATCTCTGCTTGTTTTCAGAATAATCAGTTGTGCCCCTCTTCAATTTGAAATTCTCACTATTGGCTATATTTAGGGGTACCCTATTTCCCATCTCATAACTTATTTTAAGAAACACAGAATAATAATGTGTAGGCTTGGGATTCAGTTTTTGAAATAAAACACTTATCTTCAATGACCTTCCTGTACATGTAAAAGCACACCTGTCTGCATGGCAGCAATTGGACCTCACAGTGTGGATTGTGCCTTCACCCGGGAATGTCTGTGATGCCCCATCACCGTGGTGATGGGATTAGGGATCTCCTGCCCTCAGTCTTAAGTGCCACTGTCTGTGCTGAGTTTTTCGAAGGTCAGAGCAGATTGAACCTTTGTGCTTTCATTTTTCCTGATTTTGATTTTTCTTATGGGGATCCACTTTTCCTGCATTCGAGGTATGTTCATACTGGCCTGTCAAATGCTGTCTTTTCAAATTACTAGTTAATACTTTCAAAATATGTTATTTAAAAAATTATCCTCTGTATTTTCCATATGCAGTTATAAATAAGTTTTGTGGTTATGTTTTATTCCTCATTTTATATATTTGATTCTTGTATCAAGCAGGGTGCTTTTGAACTTTTTCTTCATTTAAAAAATATGTATCATTTCCTTTTACATCCTGCACCCTTCAATGCTCCCGCCCCAAATTAAGTTATTCCCTTGAGGAGAATATGGCAAAGTCTATTTTAATGTAGTTTTTAACCTAATTAAGAACCTATGAAATCATTACTTTCAAAAAGTTTGGAGAAAAGCCACAGTAGTACAGATGGGTTTGAGGCTTTTCACACAATAAAATGTACCTATCTTTGTTTTTGACATGTTTTTCCTTCCTCTCTTCTTTTGTTGTGAAATGTGTATTTAGTTTAATAAATTTGTAGTAAGTCATGTCCATTCACATATCAATTTTAAATGTAATAAGAATGCGTATTGTCTGTGTGTGAAATAAAAAACATTTATTTTTATGCTTTGGGAGTTATCCAAAATCATAGAATTGTCAATTACAGTCAATCACCCAACCTACTCACCTTTCCAGAGTAGTCTTAGTCAAATTTTTTTTTTTTTTTGTTTCCCAATGAAATGCAGTATTTCAACACAGAAAGATAAATAGAATGAATTGGTAGAGACTGTTAACTAAGAACATACAGTTTTATTTATACTCAGAAACAAATAGATCATATACATATATATGAAGATAAAAATTAAAGGGATAATTGTGTAAGTTTGCATGTAGAAAGCTTTGAAAACCTGTTTACTTGTTAATGCTGTTTTGATGTATTGTGTGACTTAGTTCTCCCGACCCATCATCCAGAGCTCTCTCTAGGAGCTAAGTGCTCATCAGTTCTGTGAGTTGGAAACTAAGTTTAGAGGCACTTGTATTTGTTAGTAAATAAGGCAACATGATATTCTTTCACAGGTTTTAGTGCAGAAGACTGAATAGATAAGCTGCTCCACCCAGTACACTGGTGTTCATTTCATGGTCATCTCATATGTTGATCGTGGATATAAAACACTTATCTTCAATGACCTTCCTGTATATGTAAAAGCACGCCTGTCTACATGGCAGCAGTTGGACCTCACAATGTGGATTGTGCCTTCACCCTGAACTGTCTATGATGCCCTATCGTCATAGTGATGGGATTAGGGATCTCTTGCCCTTTGCTCTGCCCCTGTCTGTGCCAGCCAGGCCACTGGGTCGTTGTGGCAGATAGTGGTATCCTTTGTCAAGGGAGTTGCAACCAGGGTGATACATGAGACTAATGATTAGGTGGTATATTGTGTTCTTGTCTTGTCACCAGGTTGTGTAGCTCACAGACTTTTTTTTTTTAACATTTCTATAGCTGTCATTTGAAGTTTGTAATGCCATCAAATATCAATAACGGTTCTTCCCATTATTTATCATGGAGGGCACTGAGTGTGCACTCAGGCAGACACAGCACTTTTGACAACTTTATCTGCTTCTTTCAAAACTGGGTCTGAATTATGATAAAGTGGTTGGGTTTAGGCCAAGCAGGTGTATTTCATAGAGCAATGGGTTGGGAGTTCAGAATCCTGGACTTGAATGAGTCTCTGAGCCTTATTAAGCTGTGAAATCTAAAGCAAGACATTTCACTGATAATTAAGCCTCATGAGCACTTATGCTGTATACTTTACCTACATTGAATCATTCAGCCATCACCACAGACATATGGCATGATTGATTTACTATCATCTTTTGCTGGGCAGAAAAAGACGGAGATGAATGTGCCCAAGCTTATGAGCCCCTAAGCAAAAGAGCCAAGATGGGAACCCAAGCATAGGGCCCCAATGCTGAGGCTCTGAACTACTGACCTGCCCTCAGCACTCAGCTGTGGGATCATGAGTCACTGTGCAAAGGACTTCCAACATCTGCATGTATGTCTGGAATGATCTGAGCCTGCAGAGTTCCTACACACTAGCCACATTATAGCATGGTGTCCATGGTCACATAGCTCAGGGCAGGTATTAGTACATGAATAACTTAGGTATGTCATAGTCTTTATGTGAAAGGCACATAAAAGTCCAAATGCTTTTGAACTGGTTGCGGATTTTGAGTTGGAGAACAGCACTTGGGACAACCGATCACATTCTTTCAGCGCTCGGCCACTCCTCAGCACATATCCCAAAGCTGATAAATAATGGGAAGACCCTTTATTGATATTTGATGGCATTATGAACTTCAAATGACCGCTAAAGAAATGTTAAAAAAAAGTCTGTGAGCTACACAACCTGGGGACAAGACAAGAACACAAAATACCACTTAATCATTAATCTCATGTATCACCCTGGTTGCAACTCCCTTGACAGCTGGTTCGAAGAGCCTCAGTGCTCACCAGGGGCCATCTCCCCGCTCTGCCCTCTCTCCCTGTGGGTTGCCTGGGCTGAACATAGGTAGCCCCTCACATGATGACTGCAAACACAGGGCAAAGGAAGACTGAACGGAAAATGTACGGTTATAGTGGTTATTTTAAAATATAAGCATTTCAGTATTTTCTAATCTTTAATAATTGATTTTTTTGGGGGGGGGCTTTTTTTTTGGCAGAGTCTTGCTCTGTTGCCCAGGCTGGAGTGCACTGGCACAATCTCGGCTCACTGCAACCTCTGCTTCCTGGACTCAAGCAATTCTCCTCCCTCAGCCTCCCAAGTAGCTGGGACAACAGGCGCATGCCACCACGCCTGGCTAATTTTTTGTGTTTTTAGTAGAGACGGGATTTCACTGTGTTAGCCAGGATAGTCTTGATCTTCTGACCTCATGATCCGCCCACGTTGGCTTCCCAAAGTGCTGGGATTACAGGCGTGAGCCACTGCACCCTGCCGGTTTTTTTGTTTTGTTTTGTTTT
Source organism: Homo sapiens (assembly GCF_000001405.40). NCBI lineage: Eukaryota > Metazoa > Chordata > Mammalia > Primates > Hominidae > Homo > Homo sapiens. The sequence goes on along the minus strand of NT_187632.1, from coordinate 129,876 downwards.
TCTGATATGGAGTCTCACTCTGTTGCCCTGGCTGGAGTGCAGTGGCACGATCTCAGCTCACTATAGCCTCCGCCTCCAGGTTCGAGGGATTCTCCTGCTTCAGCCTCCTGAGTAGCTGGGATTACAGGCACATGCCACCATGCCTGGCTATTTTTTTTTTTTTTTTAACTAGAGACGGGGTTCATTATGTTGGTCAGGCTGGTCTCAAACTCTTGACTTCAAATTATCCACCTACCTCAACCTCCCAAAGTGCTGGGATTACAGGTGTGAGCCACCACACCTGGCTGAATATTTTTATAACAAAGAAAATAAATAAATATAATTAATGCTGGTGCATGGAATTAAATCTAGTTTTTAAAAAATTCACACATAAAAAAGAGCAGAACCCCAGACCCTCGATGATAAATGCAGTAGCACTGTATGTGGGTCTGTGGAGGTTGAAAGGGACTTGGTAGATGTCAAGAAGAAGTGATAGTCCTGTGGGCTTTTAAAGCATCTGAAGAAGTGACAGGACGCTGTGGTTGAATCCTAGCATGTATTTTAGTATTTGTTCATTTGGAGTTTGTTTATTTCATGTTGCTTTCATTTGCCATTGCCTGGAAAGCCAAGGGCTCTACTCATTTCCTTCCTGCTCTTTCTTTGCCTTCCTTGGTCCATGAAGAGAATGGTCCAGAAGAAGCTCAATCCATGCTTGTTAACCAGGCACACCCCTAAGTTCTAGTCCCTGAGTCATTCATGAGTAGCACCACCAATGAACTGACAGCCATGCTGTGTCCTTCCACATCCCCTAGGTGACTTGAAGAAGCCTTCCAAAAAGCGTGTGAAAAGGGAGCCCTACTCTACTACCATGGTAAAGTAGCCTGTCTTTGCCTAAGATGTAAATGTTGTTTTCTTGGTTCCTTTATTTTTCAGTTGATATCAGCTATGGGAAAATTATCCACTACACTATAGATGTTAGATAATGTTTCCTTGGCAATGGAGGAGGTGTATCTTACCAACTGACACCTGATTCCAGAGGACATACACAATTGGCAGTGTCAGATAGTACACTGCATGTTAAGGGATATTTTCTTCAGGAACAAGTTTTCCACTTTAGATAAGAATTCTGTAATTGCTACCCAAAAATTGTCTAGATAGAAACATCCTTCCAGAAAAGCTCCAGTGCTTTCCTAAGGAAACTCTACTCTAGAGTTGGGGCTTTTGACTTGAACATTCTTTCCCATCTTGGTTGCCCAGAGTTTCCAAGTGAACAAAAGACCTGTGCGAACCATCCATAGCATAGCCTGATTCTCAGAGTGTTTTCCTTCTCTAGTTACAGGTGACTTCATTGAGCCCAATCAATGGTACGTATTCTGGAATCACTCACTGGCTGTTAGAAAAAGATTCTGTAGGAAATCTGGAGCCTAACTGCTGGCTTTGGTCTGGAGAGCTTCCATGATCCAAGACACCTGGTGGGAATGAGGATGTGGGGTATAGTAAAAGAAACTGGTTTTCCAGGTGACAAACTCTTTTTACCTATGTATAGTTCCTGGAAACGTGTTCACATTAGGTGGTGTTCACATTAGGTCATGTGTGGGGGGTGTGTATTAAGGCAGGGGTGGGGTGGGGTGGTCTATATGCAAGTCTGCTTGATTTGCTTGTGAATGTGTGTCTATGTGTGTTGCCCCTAGGAAAAAAGTGTGTTTACCCAGCACAACTCTCAGGGCCATTTTTCTTAATTTAACAAATCAGACCACATACTTTACTTACATTAGTTCAAACCTCATCATGGCCATATGTTGTGAGCTTGTTTATTGAACCCCCACACCAGATGGAGAAACTAAGCCACAGAAATAAATGTGCCCCAGCTCACTTGCTATGAAGTGAGGAGCCAAGATGTTTACTCATACGGTCCCATTGTTGAAGGCCTGAACTACAACTTCTATTTATCAGCCAGTGAAGGGATCACTATTCACCATGCAAGGGAGTTCCAGCACCCTCTATGCCTGGAATTACCCACGCCTGCAGCGATCCCAAACGCCATCCCTCACATAAGAGAGGCTCAGTGATCTTATAATGTAGCTATGTAGGCATCTTCCTGCAGGTGTCACATAGTCCTTAGTGTGAAACCAACATAGAAAGCCCATGTTTCTGATCAAATCACAGGTTCTGAAACACTAAGGGAGGCACTAAGTAGGACAATGTGGTGCCTGCGTGTCATAGCTGGGTCTCCTCAAGACATGGCTTAAGTCCAGTAAGAATTGGGGAGATGCTTTAGAGTCTTGGCCACAGTTCACCACAAGCCCTCTGAGCTACGTACTTTAGGGATCATGATCATTGAGTACTCAAATTACCACTTGGTGGTTATCTGGGTGTCTGTTCATGGCAACTCTCTTGTGAAGCTGGCATGGAGAGCGTCAGTGCTGGAGCTGTGCCTCCCTTCTGAATGGATCCTCCCTGTGTTAGCAGGTGGGTGTAAGCATGGGGGTCAGCACGCTCAGTGGATTTACACACACAGCATTGAAGAGTAAGGCTGGGCTTCGTTATTTATACATTTTCAATAATTGATGATCTTCATAACGTAAAATCAATGATTTACTACACTAGAATACTGTCCCTAGTATTGAATCACATCTCTCAATAAAGGCTTGCTTAAAGTCACATGAGAGTTCCCATTCAACTGATGATACGTGCCGTAGCAGCAATTAAAGCAGTCATTTGAAAAGGCTTTTACTGTAAACTTATGCATGAGCCTGAAGTGGGGGATAAAAGAGGTGATTAGCTCCCCTGTGCAATGTTTCTATTATATGTGGGGTGGAGGACAATTACACAGGAAGGTGATGGAGAGAACAGAGCAAAGGATTGGACAGGTCCATTGAACCCATAAGACTATGGTGAGGTTAGTGAATGAGACTGGTCATTTTAGGTCAAATTTTACCTCGTGTGTTCTTTCCACGCTTTCTTCCAGTAGTTTCTTCTATTTCTTACTAACTAGGTCACTGTTGCTAAAATCCGTACTAAAAGAGGACAAAGCTTTGTAATAACATAAAAGCTAGTAAAACTGTGATAGCTCAAATTTTACAAAATACTGGGGGCTTTTGCCTGAGACCTGGATGACATAGTTGTGTAAGAATGGGGGGTTCCTCTGAAGACTATTGGACTTCTGAGAAGAAAGATCTAAGTTGTCTCTGTGTGATATGGAGTCAGCCTTCACTGCCCTCGAAGTCTGTCTGATAGAGGTGTTGAATGCTCAGTGAACTCCATGATCTTCCTGAAACCCAACTTTGATTCAGCGGGCTCTGCTTGGAAGCCTTTAAAGAGCGGGATCATAAGATTAAACTTGGAACACATGATCACTATTTTCTTCTGGTCTTCTGTCAGCAAGGTGTCAACAGTCCTCTCTATTGTAAATGCATTAACCAGCATCTTCTCTGATAGAAATTTTGAGAAGATACAGCCTGTACACCAACCAGCATTGGAGGCATCATGGCTTCTGGAGAAAGAAGATACAGCCACAAGAAGGTACTGTGGAAGTTCATTAATTAAGTTGATTCAATAATCGCAGTTGTGGGGAGTATTCAGTGTCCCATATGTAAGAGGAATCTATGAAGAGATTAAGCCATATTTTTTAATGTGTCAGAATTCTAATTTGCTTAGTCAGTAAGTATTGCTACAACCACAAAAGTAAATATCCACTTAAAAGTCAATTTTGGTTCATGTTTAAGGATGGACAATGTTTCAAGCCAATGTCTAGAACTTACCTGATGGTTAAACATTAGCATAGATCTCCCTGAAAGAGTGGTGCTATATTATTATTTTTAAATTAATATATTTCTTTAACTAGAGAGTTTTAAATTGACATAAAAACTGAGCATATGGCCAGGTGTGGTGGCTCATGCTTATAATCCCAACACTTTAGGAGCCCAAGGCGGGCAGATCACCTGAGGTCAGGAGTTGGAAACCAGCCTGGCCAACATGGTGAAACCCCATCTCTACTAAAAATACAAAAAAATAACAGAGTGTGGTGGCAGGCGCCTGTAATCCCAGCTACTCAGGAGGCTGAGGCAGGAGAATTGCTTGAACCCAGGAGGCGGATGTTGCAGTGAGCCGAGATGGCGCCATTGCACTCCACCCTGGGCAACAAAAGTGAAACTCCATCTCAAAAAAAAAAAAAAAAAAAAAAAATTGAGCATATAATACACAAAGTTCCCATATCATTCTGTCCCCTCACCCTGACTTCCTAATTTCATCTATTATTAACATAACATCTTACATTAATGTGGTACATTTGCTAAAAGTAATGAGAAAATATTGACATTATTATCTGAAGTCTATCATTTGCATAATGTTCATTCTTTCTGTTACACATACATGTGAAGTTTGAAATATGTATAACATTATGTTCACCATTATGTTCTCATAAAGAATATGTTCACATTCCTAAAAATCTCCTCTTCTCGCTCATTAATCTCTGTCCTCTTTCTCCAGGAAGCTTGGCGACTATTAATATTTTCACTGTAGCTTCAGTTTTGCCTTTTCCAGAACGTCGTATAGTTGGAATCATATATTATGTAGCTTTTTCAGATAAATTTATTTCACTAAATTGATGTATATTTAAGCTTCCTTCATGTCTTTTTTATGCCTTAATGGCATAAAATGCACATTAAATCACCAAATAATATTGCATTGAGTGGATGTTTTTATTCACCTCTTGAAGAATTTGGTAGATTTCATGAGAGAAACCATCTGGGTCTGGTGCTTTCTTTTTCAGAATGCTCTTAATGTGAATTCAACCTATTTAACAGACCTAAGCTTATTCAAATGATCTAGGATTCTAGTTGACCTTGGGAAAATTGTCTTTCAAGGACTTAATACATTTCACTGAGGTTATCAAACTGCAGTCATAGAATTGTTCATGATATTCCTTGATTATCCTTTTAATGCTCAACAGTTCAGTAGAGACGGCTCTTCTTTTATTTCTGAAATTGGTCATTTGTGTTATCTTCTTTTTCTTGGTTAGCCTGCATAGAAGTTCATTCATTGTAATGAGCATGTCAAGGAACCAGCTTTAGGTTTTAATGATTTTCTGATGATTTCAGTGTTTTAATTTTATTGACTTCTGTGATGCTGTTTGTTACTTGTTCTACTTGCTTTACATTGCATTCCTTTATTTTCTACAGTTTCCTAATTGAAACATGATATTACTGATTTTAGATCTTGTGATTTTTAATATATTGAATCCAATGCTATAAATTTTCCTCTACAGACTGCTTTTGTTACATCTAGAAATCTTGTCAAGTCACATTTTCATTTAATGTAAAGGTATTTTTAACTTTCTATTAAGACTTCTTATTTAACCCATGAGTTATTTAAAAGTGCATTGCTAATGTGCAAATATTTGGAGATTTTCTGGCTCTCTTACAGTTGTTGATTTTTTGTTGTCAGGTATGTGTTGCAAAAGCAGTCATCCATCTCATCTTGCCACCACCCAAGATGGCCCAGGATGTGGGCTCTCCCTGAGTGAATCTTTGGCCATCTGCCAACCTGATGTGGTCAGCCTCCTTCTTTAGAAAGGGCCATTCTCAGTTCTGGCAGGGAGTTTTCCCAAAGTTGAGAAGGTGACATTCTTACTCCCCAGTGCAGCCTGCACCTCTGACCCGTGGTCAGCAGACAGGACAGACACGGGCAGGCTCTGTGTCCTAAAGCAGATGGAACTGTGCGACCATCCTGATTGGAAATTTGTGAGGATCACCGTGTTACTCAAGTAAGGTCTTTGGAAAGTGTCGTATTACTACTGTTTGTGAACTGCTTGTTGGTGGCCTGGCTGAGCCACACACTTTATGAAAACCAGGACCCCTCAGCTGGTGTGGGTGTCTATGCAGCCTGAGACCCTCATGTGAACAGCCTCGTGGCAGCTGTCTTTGCCCCTTGCCACCATCAGTGCCTCCTTGTTCCTGGGCACTGCTTTCTCTGATGGTGCTCCATTGTTTTCCTGCACCTCAGTGTCTACAGCTGGATGTCTCTTCCGCAATCTAGGCGAGGGGGCATCAATGGCAGTTCTGCTGTGGCACTGCCCTCCTTCTTAGCTTGTCTTGCTCTGTCTTAGGCTCCCTCAAAGATCCCACCCTTCAGGTTCTTCCACAAGTTTCTTATTGAAATCCGAGCACAAAACTATGACCAATATGACCAATCCTATACCCACTGAAGACATGAATGAAGAATTAAAACAATTCTCCATGGACTCTACCATATAGATCCCTAGAAGTAATTTCTTAAAAAAAAAAAAAAACAAGAAAGATGTAATAGTTTTCCATAAATTAGAATACCCTACATGTACAATTAAATGAAATGGCTAGTATAGTCTTGAAACCAAAACCAGATAAGGTAAATTAAATTCTGCGATATTTTAAAATACTGTGAATTCTGACTCATGTGCGTTAATCTCAAAATATGAAATGGTGGATTAACATTGAAAATGCGATAAATAAAATTAGCTAACTCAAAAGGTTAATGGAGAGAAAATGTGATTATTGCAATAGATTCAGGAAGTTCATGGATAACATTCGCTATATATTTACAGGACAACTATCTGATTAACTTTAAGTGACCTGTGACAACCATTTGAATTAATGCTGCTTTAACAGCATATCTCTTGGCTTGTTAAAAACCCAACCAGAATTGCCATAACATTAATTTATTTTTAACACCTATATTGGGTGTGAACCCACCCTAAAGTTTGCCCACTGAAAAGGTCTACAATTTGATGCTTTATTAAATTGATACTGTGTGCACCCATCGCCATGATCTAATTTAAAAATGTTTCCCTCACCCAAGTTCTTTCTTGCACACTGGCAGTTAATCCCCACTCCCATCTCCAGCCCTAAGCAATACTGCTATGATATTCCATCTCCATAAATTTCCTGCTTGTTTAATAGAAATGGACATATATATATATTTGGAATCTGACTTCCTTCATTTAGCATACTATGTTTGAAGTTAATTGACGCTTTAGCAGGTGCTGGTCATGTGTTTTCCTTCATAGTCTGCTGTGTTTATTCATACAGATAGTGTTTATTCATTTACCAGTTAATGGACATTTAATTATTTTTGTTTTTTTCTATGGTGAGTAGTGTAACTTTGAGCATCATACGCAGTCATGTAATGCATAATGACATTTTGGTCATTATTATTTTTTTTTTTTGAGGCCCAGGCTGGAGTGTAGTGGCACAATCTCGGCTCACTGGAACCTCCACCTCCCAGGTTTAAGCAGTTCTTGTGCCTCAACCTCCCGAGTAGCTGGGACAACCGGCACACGCCACCACACCTGGATACTTTTTGTATTTTCAGTAGAGACAGGGTTTTGCTGTGTTGGTCAGGCTGGTCTCAAACTCCTAGCCTCAGGTGATCCACCCACCTCTGCCTCCCTAAGTGCTGGGATTATAGGCATGAGCCACTGCGTCCGGCCTAATTTTTTTGAGAAACAAGAGAACTGTTTTCTAAATTAGCTTTGCCAATTTATATTCTTACCATGATGCATAGCACTAATTTCACTGTACAATGTATGGTAGGCCCCAACATGTAAGAAATGATGAAAGTAACACATAAAGATTAGTATAAAACAAATAAGATTATCATTGTTGCTATCATCTTTGTCAAGTTCTCAAAACAATCTAAGAGTATATTTTTATATAAATATGCTTGGCAACATAGCTGACAAAAGCATTATCAGTTACATTTATCAGTAACAAAGACATAAATCTGAAGGGGAAAAATACTTGTACTAACAGCACAATATCAGAATTAACATAAAAATTCTGCTGGTCACTTTGGACTATTTCATTGTCTGAGGCAGTGTTTTGTAGACAAAGGAGCATCTATGGAGCACCTGAAGTAGGGGATCAACAGAACTTGGGTTTCAAAAGTTATCTGGGTTTAGAGTGTGAAACTTTGTTGGAGGACACACACCTTGCGTGAGCGAGGTGCCTTGGTGTGTGTTGGAGGTACAGCATGATGGCCTAATCTTGAAGGCAAAGGAAGGCTGCTGGCAAGACTGGCATCTGGGCTTGGCTGTGTGTGTTTTCTATTGTGGGAAAATAAGTATAATAAAATATTTATCATTTGAACCTTTTAACCAAAGTGTGCACTCAGTGGCATTCAAAATATTCACAGTGTTGCATAACCAACACCACTATCTACACCCACAATTTTGATGATTTCTTACAAAACCTTGTCCACCGTAAGCAACATAGCACCTTCCCCCTATTTCCAGCCCATGGTGATTCCTATCCTATTTTCTCTTGTATGAATTTGACTATTCTAGGCACTTCATATAAGTACAATTAGACAATATATTCCTTTTGTGTCTGGCGTATTTCACTAAGCATAATGTTCTCAATGTCCACCCATGTTGTATCATCTATCAAAATTGTGCTCCTTTTTTACAGATGGATGATGTAGCATTGCATGCAGACCACCTTGCTTTTATTACATTCATTTGTTCACTGATGGTTGGATTATTTCCACCTTTTGGCTCCTGTGAAAAGTGATGCTACAAACATTAGTATACAAACATCTGTTTGATTTCTGTTCTCTATTCTTTAAGAGTAGAATTCCTGGGTCTAACGGGAGTTCTATATTGAACCTTCTAAGCCACTGCAGACTGGTTTCCACAGTGGCTGCAACTTTATCCATTTCTACCAGCAATGTATCGGGGTTACAATTTCTTTACATCCTTCTTCACACTTATTTTCCTTTAAATCATACTAGTATGTGTATATTGGTGTCTACTTGTGTTTTTCATTTGCATTTCCATAATGACTAATGATACTGAGCAGCTTTTCCTGTGCTACTATCTGTGGCTGTATCTTCTTTAGGGAAATATATGTTCGAGTCTTTTGCCCATTTTTAAAGAGTCATCTGATTTTTATTTAGTTAGTTTGTTGTAGATTTTTGGGGGGTTTAACATGTATTCTAAATTTTAGTTTCTTACATGATAAATGATTTGCAAATATTTCCCCCTTTGTGTAGAACTGTAGATTCACAAACTTCATTAATTTGTATGAAATCCTCAGCAGTTGACCCCAAAAGGATAAGACTGAAACAGTATTTTAGGAATAGTTGAAAGTATGATCACCACAAAACATAGGCGTAATCAAATCTCGCAAGCTACACATAAGGCACAATGATAAAGCAGCAAAGGGCCATCTGGTGATTAGTTCACCACACTTGTTGCAGCTGTTTGCGCTGCAGAGTTAAACCATACCAGCATTCAACCCATGTCTCCTCTCTTGAAGTAAACTGTCGTATGTTGGCTGGCCTGAACAAGCGTAGATATTCTCCATCCTCAATTAATTATGCATGCACGACAAAGAAAAGGAGGCCTGGATGAAAAAATATTGTGTGATTATAATTATGCTTTAATTAATTTTAAAGGATATAATTTCAGTATTTCTAATTCTCCCATTAGCAGTTATAACAAAGGATTAGTGAATAAATACAATAGACTGTTTTGCCTAGAATTGAATCCAATCTGTCTGTTAAACTTTGCTTTTGTTCAAGTGCAAAATGCTAAAACACATAATAACTGCAGTGACAGCCACTGTGGATCCACAGAGGTAAAAATGGTCTTGGGACATCAATCCTACAAGCTAATATTGTTTTATAGGGTTTAGAAAATCATTTAGCTGGGTTTCAAACCTTGCAGTGTGAGCGGTGGGACTGTCATCAAATTATAGCGTGTACTTCAGTGCCATTTGTAGACTGACTCATTGCCGTTGCCTTAAGTTGCCATCAGCAAAATGCCAGGGACTCCATTTCTTGCTCCTCGGCTCCTCGTTCTTGCCTGTCTTTCCACGAGGGAAGATTATCTAGCAGCAGCTCAAGCTGTGCTTTTAATGAAACACATCCACACACACTGTCCTGTTCTCCACATTAAGCAGAGCTCCCTGAATAACTCATGAACAAAAGCATCGATGACTAACCGTTGCTCTGTGTCCTCCTAGCCTCTGAGGAGCCTCCAGCTCACAAGGACAGAGGAGGTGGAGAGAGGCCAGTCAACGCGAGGGTAAGGTTGCCTTGCTTTCCCTGAAATAGAAATGTTCCTTTCTTGGCATCTTTCTTTTTCAACTGACTTTACATGTGAAAAAATGACAATGTCCATGACAGGTATTAAATGCAGTTTTCTGAGGGGGTGGAAGAAGTGACTCTTAGCAACTGATATGTAATCCAAAATGACATTTAGCTGTGATGGCTTCAGGTTGTAGATCGTGTCCTTGGGGTCCTTGTCCTTGGAAGCAATGTCTTCTCCTTGGATTCAGTATTTTGCACTTGCCAACCTATGTGGACCTGAGAGATCCACCATCCAGAAATTGATGTCTTTTACAGTGTGTATCCTACCCTTGTTTGGGGAGCCTTGAAGTTGACTACACTTTCTGATCAAGTTTTCAGTATTCATTGAGAGAAACAGAGCCTTGTGCAAACAATCCACAACACGACGTACCCCTCATAAAGTCTTGTTTCTGTATTGCAGGTGGTGCGGGTGGCCCCTCTGAGGCCTGGTTTTGGTAAGTATTCTGGAATTACTTGCCAAGAAAACAATCTGGATGCCAAGAAAAGTGTGGCATCTTTGCAGGTTTCAATGTGAAGAGCCACCCTGATCCTGGGATCGTGATAGAAATAAGCATAGGGGAAGTGTTTTTTTAAAAACCTGAATTCCCCAGGGAAAAGTTATGGCCAATTTTTGAGGAAGCAGCTGTGCTCCCTTTTGGGTGGTGCTGAGTTGGGTGCTTGAGGATTGGTGGTGTCTTGTGTGAGGCTGCATCGTGTGGTGTGAATGTGTGTGTTTCTGTACAGGTGAGGCTGTGTGTTTTCTCAGGAGAGATTTCCCATTTATACAGCCCAATCGCCAGTGTCCACTTCTAACAATGAAATCCACCCTCGCTCTACTCTTTCTGTACAGTGACTCCTCCACCCTCACCAGAGCCATTCCCGGGTCTGCCTTATTATCCCCACTGCTCAGGTGGAGAACCTGAAGGGCCAAGGGAGGGGCCCCAGCTCCGGAGTTCCTGAATGAAAAAGTGAAAACACGAACCCAGGAGTGTGGGCCAGTGCTGACGCTGACATGCACTTAGTCATGGGGTGTTCACCACCACACAGGGAGTCCAGCATTCATGTATAAGCCCTAAAGCACCGAGCCCAAAAGGCCCCAGACACTGCCCATCATCATAAAGTGGCCTCCGTGGTCACACAACCCAGGGCAGTTATAGGCTCATCTCCCCACGGACCGGCATAGTCATCAGTGCGTCAAAAGCACAAAGATCCCCAGGTGTTTGGGTCAGCTCACAGATCCTTTTTTTTTTTTTTAACTTTTATTTTAAGTTCAGGGGTACATGTGCAGGATGTGCAGGTTTGCTACATATGTAAATGTGTGTCATGAAGAGTTTGTTGTACAGATTTCGTCACCCATATATTAAGCCTAATATCAGCTATTTTCCCCAATCCTCCCCCTCCTCCAAACTTCCACCCTCCAGTAGGCCCCACGCTCACAAATTCTAAGAGGAGTGGGGGACCACAAAGGCCAGTGTGGCCCACTTCAGTTGTGAAGTTAATTTGCTCAGCAACTGGCCAAAGTCTATAAGGATGGGTGATGTATTTTAGTAGATTTAGTAATACTATCTTCCCAAGCCCTAAAATGCTCAAATCCTGCCAGCCAAAAATGGTGAGGAGGGACAGATAGGAACTCTGTGTGGCACTTGGTTATTAGCCTGGCTTCCATCCCTTAGTGGCAACTCTCTTGTATATGTGGGTTAAAGACCCTCAGCCTCAAGCCAAGCCTCCTCCATGAGGAGCCATCTCACTATTGACTGCCTAGTGCAGTGTATGGCCACCAGCCCAACTGAAACAAAATGTTGCTTTAAAACAAGTGTAAATCTCATACAACAAGCAAATGCAGAAGCAGTGTGGTCTTGCAAGTTGCAAAGAGCACAGTTACAGTTTCGCTGGACTTCAACCTGGGTAGAAGACATGAGGGAACTCTCACTGAATCACGGCAGAGTTCAAGGCCACTTGTAGACTATTGCATGTTATAGAAGGTGACCCTTAGCTAGTAAGCAAAGGCCTCTGTTTCTAATTTCTTCCCTGTTCATCTTCTTGGTCATCCTTCTTCTGCAAGGGAAAAGAGCCCGAGCAAAAGGCAGTTTCAATATTAATCTGATCAAGGTTTTGTGCAGTTTATTATCATCCAGGTAATCAGGTGCAACTCGGTCTGCCTACCAGCCCCCCACCCCTGCTCTGTGTTTTCATTTAATAAATATTTTGGTCTACTTACTATGTGCTAGATTTTCTGGAGACCGCAAAGTAAATGAGATAGAATCTTTATGTTGACAGCTAAGTTAGATTTAACATAACTGACAAAAATTAAAATTTCTGATTTCTTGCAAAAATATTTTGTATGTATGAATGCATACTGAATGTAAAGTGGTTAACAAAAAAAATCACACTTGCACTCATGGAAGGCTTTTCATGAATTTGTCAATTTCTATTTTTTTATATTTCCCCACTTCACTGGATAATGCATATCTGAACCTGGAAACTGATTCCCACTGCAGAAAGTGTTCTGAGTCATGTCCCTTAGCTTCACTAGTGCAGGTCCACCCGGGAGGATGGCCTAGCATCAGCTGGGCCCATGCTGTGATCAGCCACCTCCAGGCACCCACACCAAGCAAGCTCCCTGGGTGATTCACCACCAGGGCACTGACCTTTACTCTGTGTTCTCCTAGCTCTTTGTGGGTACGCTGTACAAGACATCTCTAAAGAAGACACTGTATATGACATCTGTAATGAGGATGCTGTAGACATCTCTGATGAGGACACTGTAGATATCTCTAATGAGGCTTCTGTACATGACATCTCTAATGAGGCTGCTGTATGTGACATCTCTAACGATGCCGTAAACATCTCTAATGAGGCTGCTGTACGTGACATCTCTAATGACGCTGTAGACATCTGTAATGAGGCTGCTGTACATGACATCTCTAATGAGGACACTATAGAAGACATTTCTTATGAGGACACTGTATACGACATCACTAATGAGGATGCTGTACGATACCTCTGTAAAAAAGATGCTACCAAGGTAAGACACTTTCCTTTGTCTTGAACAGAAATGTTGCTTTCCTGGCTTCTTTCCAATCAGATGTAGACATGAACATCTGCCAATGTGGACTATTTATGACATCTGCAATTCCCTTGGTGTGGTGCTACTGATTGGCAGCCTCTCATCAACCCATGCCGGGCACACTGGGGCGTGGTAGATGGCAGCATCCATGATCCACTGCAATGTAGAGGTGTTTCCCTCCACAGCAGTTTTCCCCTGTGGATTAAGAGTTATGAAACTGCCAATCTAAATACACTTTAAAGATAAATTCTGTGGGAAAAGGTGTTGTCTTTTCCACAGGTGTCCTCCGTGCTAGTTTTGGGGGACTTCGATCTCTGACTCAATCACTATACCCCTTCTAATTTTCTCAAGTTGTTGAGAGAATATCAGATCTGTGTGACGTGCATGGCAACATTTCACCCCCTAATGTTTTCTTTTCTATAATTGCAGGAGCCATTGACACTGGAGAATGGTACGTACCCTGAAATAACTCATTTCCTGAGGGAAAAACATTGCCTCTAGGGTACAGAAACCTGATTCTGGGCTCCTTTTGGGAAGGAGGATTTGGGGTCTGGTGAGAGCAAATGATTTTGCAAGTATAAAACCATGTCCAGAGAGGCTGTAGGGATATCTGTGAGCCCAGAGGAAACACCAGGGGATCCTGTGTGAAGCACCCGGGCTTCAGCTGGGGTGGGAGGAGTGGATGGGCCTCTCTCTAATGACTTATCCTGATGTTTGTGTTTCTAAAGATTTGATTGTGGAGAGCATGTCTGATGACGAGGATTTTGCAGGTAGGTAACTACTTTCCACGTAAGAGCCAATGGGAGAGAGTTCCCAGGGGCCTTCGGGGTATCCATGCTGCTTGGGAGGTTGAGGGAGGGGGCATGAAATCAAAACGAAACAGGAAATATGTGTCAAATTGGATTTGGTCTTTTCCAGGTTTATTGGCATAATAGTAAGAACTGTCTCTCTGGGCTATGAGAGTGCTGTGTTATTTGAAGGTGATCTTTCCCGGAACACCTGGCCTTTTCTTTTCTGCCTCTGCCAAACATCACAGCCTTTGGGTTGGATTAGTCAGCACCCCTTGGGATTGTGCAGAAGAGGTTTGGGGTTGCATTGAGTGTCACCTGTGGTGAACAGAATCTGAGGGACACAACTCTCTCACAGGCACTTACTTGATCCTGGAGACAAAGTTCTCCCGGTGTGTGCCCAGGGGTGCAGGAGAAATTGACAGTCGGCCTCTAAACTTTTAGGACTTTAAAAAGCACTCATGTTTCCATCCTTGCTGTTGACTCCTAGCTTAAAGGGAGCTCCCGGGGTGAGTGATGGAGGCGGGATCGGACCCTGGCAGTTTGACGGCAACACCTGTGTTCCTCTGCACTGGGCCGTGGATGACATTACACACCTTGGTGAGAATCAGGAATTGAGGCTAATCACATCTGAAATTGAGGTGGGCCTTGAGTCATATAAATAGTTTGGAAAAGATGCATTTTATTACCCTATTGAAAGAAACCATTTATGGCCAGGTGCGGAGACCTATAATCCCAGCACTTTGGGAGGCTGAGACAGGCAGATCACAAGGTCAGGAGATTGAGACCATCCTGGCTAACAGTTAAACCCCTTCTCCACTAAAAAAAAAAAAAAAAAAAAAAATTAGCCAGGCGTGGTGGCAGGTGCCTGTAGTCCCAGCTACTCAGGAGGGTGAGGCAGGAGAGTGGCATGAACCTGGGCGGCGGAACTTGCAGTGAGCCGAGATCATACCACTGCACTCCAGCCTGGGCAACAGAGCGAGACTCCATCTAAAAAAAAAAAAAAAAAAAAGAAAGAAACCATTTATTTCTCACTCCAGCAGGATAAATGGTTTTCAGTGTCCACTTAACTGCTCATTGACTCTTACTGTAGATGAGGAGGTGGCCAGCAGCCCCTGCCCTCCCCCAGTTGTAGGCCCAAGGTAACCAGCAATTGACTGGATATAATGGAAGAGTGGTGCATTCGGAGGTATCTGTATTAATGGGACCCACATGATATGGATGAGAGCTATTAGGGTGAGAAAAAGCCTGGGAGCACAATGAAATATTTAAATATTAAACAAAACATTGTTGAAATCTCCATTGTACTTTAGTAGTTGAAGTCATTCTTGTGGTCATCACTGCCTTTCCCAAGCATAACAAGCTACTTAATATCACATGGACCCGTGCCATGAGGAATGATGATCAGTTTGTAAAATGCCAATAAAACAATTGCCTGTATAAGCCACAATATTTCATCCATATATTTCAATTTCCATGTGTAAGTATAGTTCAAATGTCAGAAATTTATTATTATCTAATAGAATATTCATGGTATATCAATGAGCAATAATTATCATACTATTTCTATTAACAATTATTTGTATGATGAAAAAAGCAGACTCCCATTCTTGGATTTTTCTCAGTTTGCACACATTAGCACGACAGGACCATGTCCATATGATATGTGCCAGCAGGAGGCCAGGACCAGAGGCTTTTCTTGTTAGCTAAGATTTCTAAATGTATTACATATTCATGGTTAGAAATAACTCTAAATATCATAAAAGGTTAGCAAGGAAGTTTCCCTTCCACTCTGAACTTCCAAACACCAAGTCAACATTTTTGCTTGCATATCATTTCTACAATCTATGTGCAAATAGAAACATGCACCTGGAATGCATGCTGATGTGTGATTGTGTTTACACAAAGTCCTCTGCCCCTCTGCACATATCACTGGGCAATGCACCTTAGTTATCATTCCACATTTTCAAATGTAAATCCACTGTATTGTTTCAGAGCTATAAAGTACTGCACCCTATGACTATTCCCAAAATTACTTAAGCACTCATTATGGGTATCCATTTGTTCTGTTTCCAGTCTTGCTTTTACAACCAATGCTGTAGTGAATAGCACTATGTTGAGTAGAAGTGGTGAATGTGGGCATCTTTGTCTTGTTCCAGTCCTCAGGGGGAATGCTTTCCACTTTCCCCCATTCAGGATAATGTTGGCTGTGGGTTTGTCACAGATGGCTTTTATTACCTTAAGGTATGTCCCTTCTATGCCGATTTTGCTGAAGGATTTTAATCATAAAGAAATGCTGTATTTTCTCAAATGTTTTTTCTGAATCTATTCAGATTATCATATGAGTTTTTGTTTTTAATTTTATTTATGTGATGTATCACATTTATTGACTTGCATGTGTTAAACCATCCCTGCATCCCTGGTATGAAACCCACTTGATCATGGTGGATTATCTTTTTGATATGCTGTTGGATTCAGTTAGCTTGGTTGTAGCATTTCTTATTATTCCATCTGTGGAATGTATTGGTTTAAGTAATGAAAACATGTTCTATCTTCACTGCTTCACAACTTGTGTTTCTTTAACAGCCTTCCCAATAGGGCAGCATAAAAGCAGGAGCCTTGCTAGTCTCCCCTTAACCTGGAATCCCCCCTTCTCCACAGCTCGCTCACTGGACAGGATAGACTGGGCGCCCAGGCCTCAAGGTAAGGACACACTGTCACCTAGAGGTCCAGTGTCTGGGAAGGCCAACCTTGGAGGGGCGCTGCCAGCTTTACAGTGACAGAGGTGTTGGGAGGGACTGACCACCAATGCATAAGGCTGTGCTTTGTTGGTGACGTAAAGGATTATTTCTCAAATTTTTGGGGAGGGACAATCTCAAGGCCTCCCTTGGTCCTGGTGCTGGCTCTGCACAAAGGCAGTAAGACAGGGATGCTGGTAAGGCCTGACCTGTTGCGGTGCTGGGGAGGAAGGTGCTGGGCTGAAATTCAGGAGGCTGAGGATGCAGCAGTCCCATAGGAGGTACACGACCTTCAGGATACATTTTCTTCATTGATGATCAATGGAAATGAGAAATCACTGGCTATTTTTTCTATCCTTGGAATCTACTCTCTACTGCTCGTGCTGTTCCTGTCTTTTGGGGAAGATGGAGGATCAATCAGTGTGCACTGCACTGAGTGGAAGGAAGGAGAGCTGTGACAAAAATTAAGGGAGGATGAGAGACATGGGGGCCCTTCATCCAGGTGCTTGCAGAGTCTTCCTGAGGAGGAAAGCCCCGTGGCTCCCTGGGGAAGGAGCAGGGAGGGCTGCATGACTCCCACAATGAAGGGTGTGGTATGTCTGAGGACACCCAGGCTGGTCTGTTAAGAGTCAGTGGCAGAGTGAGAAGCAGCAAGGCCAGGAGGGTGGCTGGAGGCCAGGCTCTGGATCATTCTTCATGTGATGGAAACAGCCGGAGCCCAGTGGGCTGGGAGGTGCAGGTCGCGGTGGCTGATGACAGAACAATGTGGAGAAAAGTGTGATGTGTCAAATCCTTACTTTGTTCTGGGCATTGTGCTAAATGTGGCCCATCCCATTTAGGGGCCGAAAGTTGCAGAGGTTTAGGAAGCTCGCCCATGATACCGGAGCCCCCATCTCCTGCCCTAGGGCTGTCCCCCTTCTCACCCAGCCACCACCTGTTTCGGGGCAATACACAGAAGTGGTAACTTCTTACGGATAGGCAAGTAAATTCTGCTGTTTTTGTTATTCACAGAAAAAAACACTGGCTTATGTGGGTAGGGAAGGTGACATACCAGAAGCATTTCATCTGGTTATTTCTATTAACGTGAATCCTATAGTATTGAAATGCATAGGTTAGCATTTTTGGCCAATTTACTCAGCATTCTAGGTTAAAGGCTTTTATTTAATTAATTAATTTGTTTATTTTTGAGATGGAGTTTCACTCTTGTTGCCCAAGCTGGAGTGCAACAGTACTATCTCGGCTCACTGCAACCTCCACCTCCCAGGTTCAAGCGAGTCTCCTGCCCTCTGCCTCCTAAGTAGCTGTGATTATAGGCTCATGCCACCATACCTGGCTAATTTTTTGTATTTTTGGTAGAAATGAGGGTTCACCGTTTTGGTCAGGCTGGTCTCGAACTCCTGACCTCAGGTGATCCGCCCACCTTGGCCCACCAAAGTGCTGGGATTATGGGCATGAATCACCACGCCTGGCGTAAAGGCTTTTAAAACTCACTTGTATACGTTGACTTAGTTTTCTTTAACCTTGTAGAAAAATACAAAATGGCAATCTCTTTTATCACACAAATAATGTCTTTTTAATAGTGATTTTTTTCTAATTGATATATTATGTACTTTTCATTCACTAATTATTAATTGCTTACATTTGAAGTGTTTTATGAATTAATATTTACTTGCATAGATGAAGATGACTAGTCATAGGCATTTTTACTAACCAATACTCATTAAGCATAGCATGGACTCATGTGATGTCAAGGAGCTATTTTATTTGGTAAAAGGAAAAAGCCCAAGAATGAATGCAAGAACTGAAACAGTGGAGACACCTAGCATGACTTGTCTAAGATCTAAATCATTTTGTTGTCTTCCCAGTGTACTTATCCTGATCATTGTCATCAGCATTGATTTGGTCATTTTAGCACAGATTTCTCAAAATGGGTAACTCCATAACAGTTGGAAGCTTATGAATTCATATAATTTGTAAGAGCACAATTTGGGAGTACCTATTTTAAAATTCTAATAACCTGGTAATTTCATCCACGTCTAGAGTATTTTATGTAAAATATTTCCACAATTAGGAGAAATATGTGCATGGGGATTTTCTATGTAGCAGTGTTTTAATAGAATAGAAAATTGGGACAAACCAAATTTCCATCACAAAGGAAATAGTAATACACTGAATAGTAATACAGCAAATATTATGCAGGCTTTAAACATCAAAAAGGAGCTCAACTTCTGACTTCCGATGACGGTGTCGAAGTAGGTCACAGCTGGTTTACATTTGATTTTCATGTGGGAACTCTGGAAGTCTGCCTTAGTGATTTTACATGTAGCTAAATTTAGCGAATGAAAAGCTATTCGAAGTATGGCAAAATGGAACTTTAAAACAGTATCTTGTCAACAACCAAGAGGACCTGTTTCACATAAAGCCCACGCATTCATCTGCCTGTCCATCATTCTGTCTGTCCACACGGGCATCATTCGTTAGTGGAACTGAGTGCCCACTGTCGAGCTGACAAGCCCATAACCTCCCTGTTTCTAGTCACACATTAATTCTTCGACAAATCCCTTTTGATAGATTGTGATTAAGCTTAGCTGCTATTTCCAATTGCTTCCCCAAACGTACTTCTCACTGTTCTCCCATCACACCCTTCAGCCCATCCATGCAGGTTTCCTTTGCTTTTCTCACCTTACACCAAACTCCCTATTTTTACTCCCACTTTTACCTCCTCTCCAAGACAAAACAAACAAAACTAGCATTTTAAAACTTAGTTGTAATCTTTCTTCCTTCATGAAAATTTCTCCAACAGCCACTCCCATGGCCCTGTGTGTTCCGGATTTTTTTAAATATTGGCTATAAGGTTGAGCAAGTCAGGATATGCTTTTTTGGGGTGCACACTGTTTTGTTTGTATTGATTCTTCCTATTGGAGGCGTGGTCATTGCCTTCTCCTCTGGGGAGTTTATGCCAGTGCTCTTCAATAAGATTGGCAGGCAATTTTTCTTTTTGTACTTAATTTTTTGTATGGTATTGAGATAATATTCTCATCAGATTAATTGAAAGTAGCCCCCTTCATTAATTTTATGGAAATATTTTAATTGGATTAGAATGACAACTCCACTGTAATTTTGGATTTAGCCAATAATACTATTAGGGCTCTGTGTGTGAGAGAGAAAAAGAGAGAAAGGGAAAGAAAGAGACAAAGACCGATACTTCTTAACTACTGATTAAATTTACATAGAAGCTACTGAACTATTCAGGATTTTTATTTCTTCATGAGTTCATTTTAGAAAATTATACTTTCTAGGATTTTGTCTATTTTGTACACATTTTAAAATGTCTTGGCATGATATCCATATTCATATATGTTTACATACATAATGAATACATATGTAGATTTGAATACATATATTTATTCATAATATCCACTGATTGTTTTGTAATCTCTGCTACTTCTGTGGTTATGTCTTCCTATGAATTTCTGATATGAATTTTGATTATTTCCCTTTTTTCTTGATAAATCTCACTAATGACTTTTGTATTAGACTTTTCTGGAAAACAACTGTTGGCTTTGTTACTTCTCCCTAGTATTGTCCTTATTTTCTATTTCATCAATTTCTCTTCTCATCTGTTATCCTTCCATTACATTATCTGCATTTATTCTGATGCTACTTTTTTCTAACTTGAGTTGTATGCTTAATTAACTTTCAGCCTTTCTGAGTTTCCAGCGTAAACAACTAAGCTTATAGATTGCTCTCACATAATGCTCTTTGCTGCATCTCACAATTTTCAGTTTGCACACATTTTATTATTTATTCATAAGAATTATCTAATTGCATTATGATTTTTATTGACATTCAAGTTTAGAAGTATGCTCTACATTTTCTAATGTTGCAACCAATGGTCTTGTGCACCAGTCTTTTCAATTTTTGCCAGTCTCCTTCAGGATGGATTTTAAGATGTTGGATTGTAGGTCAAAGTGTTACTGCTTTGCAACTTTGCTAAATGTTGCCAAATTCCTCTCCACAAGTGCCTAATGGGGCTTTCTTAGCAACAATGTGTGTACAGCCACACTAACATAGTTACATGTGAAACTTCTAAAATTTTGTCTCTAAAGTGGTATTGAGGTGATTTTTAAAATTTTTTCAATGAGATTAAAAGCCATTTCTGTTTTTTCCTTTATATTGTTTGTTCACGTCTCTAACATGCTTACATGTGATTGTTGGTAGTCTTCTTCCCTATATTTAGAGACTTGTTACATTTTAAGTATATTAAAACCTTTGTGATATGCCTGGCCGTGTTTTTTTTTCCGGTTTACCATGTATCTTTTGCACTTTTTTAAATTGAACTTCATGTCACACTGAGGTTTTCTATTTTTATGTAATAAAACATTATAATTTCATTGTGTTCTCTGGGGTGGTTCTACCACTTTCAAGGCTGCTGTTGACTTTCTACAGTAATATGTGTGGCATTGATGTAGAGCAGCCAATGTCTCCCATGTTTTGTAATAATTGATCTTTCTTTGTTTCAGATAACCCTGAGAAATATATTGACTGACTGTCTCCACAGGGCTTATGATTTCTTCTCGGGTTTGAAACATGCCCCCAGATGAGCAAGACGGGGCTGCCACATTGACGGAGCAGCTGCGGGACACACCCAAGAAACCTCCTGGAGAACACAGGGGACATTCACGGCTGGAGGCTTCATCTATGGCCGGGGGCTTCATCCATGAGCTGGGGACTTCATCCATGGGCTGGGGACTTCATCCATGACTGGGGACCTCATCCACGTCTGGAGACTTCATCCGCGACTGGGGGCTTCATCCATGGGCTGGGGGATTCATCCACGGGCTGGGGGCTTCATCCATCACTGGGGGCTTCATCCACGGGCTGGGGGCTTCATCCATGACTGGGGGCTTCATCCACGGGCTGGGGGCTTCATCCATGGGCTGGGGGCTTCATCCATGACTGGGGGCTTCATCCACGGGCTGGGGGCTTCATCCATGACTGGGGACTTCATCCACGACTGGAGACTTCATCCATAGGCTGGGGGCTTCATCTACAGCTGGAGACTTCATCCACAGCAGGGGCTTCATCCTTGGTTGGTTTGCCTGATCTGTATCTGAGCCACAGATACAGATTATTAAACAGATAATAATTTTATTGACTTCCACTTTTATCTTTTTTTTACCGTTTTTGTTTCAAAAGTTGTTTGTTGATAATTTAATGAAATAACTAAACCAGAATTATCCCCTTTTAATTATTTCCTTGTGTCTATATAGAAAGAGTAGATTTAAGAAAACATTGAGATGCCCCTGTCTGTGTTTGTGAATGGGAGTGTTGGGTCTAAAGCCTTTCTCTGTTAGCTTTCCAGAAGATTGCCCCACCTTACACTTGCTTTCTGCGGGTTCCAGAGGCTTCCATTTGAAAGGAGCCTCTCTACCCACTCTGCCTCAGCCCACACCAGCTCTCCTGTAACCCACTGACTTTGTAAACGCTTTCTTCCACCTGCACCTCATTGAATTCAAGACTTTGGAAAATAGTCAAAAATTCTAAAAAGGTGGGAATGGGTGTGATCTGGAAATCCTGGCTGTAATATTTTTAATGGAATCTACTGGAAACTATTAGTTTATGTTTTAAATAAAACCATCCCTTAGCACTAGAATATCAAGCCATTCATTTTTTAGCAGAACTTTGAGATATAATTTAAATACCATAAATTTCACCCCCATACAGTGTACAATTCAATGGTTTCTAATATATTCACAGAGGTCTGCAAAAATTACAATTTAATTTTAGACATTAATATCATTTATTGACATCCTTATATGCATATAGATGTAGATATATGTAATTTTAATATCATCTTGAATATTATAGTATTTAACATTGTACTATGATAATATCTGTGTTTTTATATTGCTGTTTTATTTTGTTATTCTGAATGACAATGATCTCCAGGTACCTTTACACAGGTTTAAAATACACCTTTTTACAACTCGAGAAATTAAATTGTTTCTAGTAAATCACATAAGAAACACATATGCTATTGTTATAAAAATTCAAATACTGCTTAGGTCTATGGAATGTATTTCTATGGCCCTGGAGAGATGGGCACAGAGGGCAGTCTCTCCTCGATGCACCCTTATCTGTGAGGACAGTCCCCCCAGCCCCTGTGCCTCCATCCGGGTTCCATCAGCAAAGGGAAGCCCCAGAGCTGGGGCCCGGCCTTGAGGCAGAGCTGGAAGCTGCTACGCGGAGGGGCCTCAGCCCATGGTGGTGGGGGGGCACCCCAGCCACCCTTGGTCCCAGCTGCCACCTGTGCACTCCCTGAGCGGAAATGCCTGACTCACCCTAACGTTGTCCGGTCTGCAGATGGCGGCGGCTGCTGAGGGAGCTCCTTCCCCTCCTCCCGCCTACCCTGCTAGGGCTAGGCCACAGATACACAGGGCGAGTGGGAGTGTCTAGGGGAGAAGATTTTATTTCACAAGGTGAGGAGCCCGGGCTGGTGGCCGACGCCCACACACCAGGCTCCGGGACGCATGGGGTCTGCACGTGGGGAGGGTGCTGGCCGCCCCAGCAGGAAGCCCGACGTAGGTCCCAGCGTGTCTGTCAGTCATGCCGCTGCCCTGTGGAGCTGGAGAGGCAGGACGTGCACCCAGCCTGTGGCTGGCGGGGCAAGGGACCTGCAGGTCAGGCCAAGTAGAGTGGCTCTGGCTATGCCCCCGAGGCGCAGGCTACGCCACGGTCTGGAGGCTGAAGAGCTCGAGGGTGAGCGAGCTGAGGAAGGCAGGGATGCTGTCCTGGCGCCGCAGGTGCACCTCGATGAGCTCGCCCACGGTGTGCGAGAACTCTGTCTCCAGTAGCTGCATCTTGGAACCCGAGGGCCTGGTGGCCTGCGGGGCGGTCAAGAGACAAGACAGCGGTCAGCCCGACAGGCCTCTCCCTCTCCCCTCCCTCCCTACACAGCTCCTCCAGCCATGGGGGCTTCCCTCAGTCTGAGGACCTGGACAGGGGTAGATGCGTCCTCAACCCTGCCAGGCCTTATTCCAGGTCACCTAAAGGGACTGAATTAACCCAGGGCAAGGTCTCTGTTGTCTACACTGTCATCTACCCAGGCAGCTGGGGGTCCCAGGCACTGCAGGGTGTGCCCACCCGAGGGGCTGCCACCTTGCTCCTTCCTCCACCTGGGGGGCTCCAGCACCTGTGCCCCCACCTGTGACAGGCCCCAGTGCCACTCTTCACTGAGGCTGGAGGACCCCACACCCTGGGCAACTCCTGCAACGCCTTCCACACTGCCTGGGCCCCATGACCTAGTTTCCCCACTTGTGCAGGGGGGCGCTGGGGGCCCAGGGGGCGTCTGGCTCTGTGGATTCTGCAGCCCAGAGGGAGGCCTCCTGTAACTGGAGAACGGGCAAGGAGGAGCTTCCAGACAGCGCTGCAGGCCCCAGGGGACACAGGGCAGGAGGCACAGGGTTCAGGTCACACAGCAGGTCTGAGCAAGCTGCTGTGCCACAGTCCTGGGCTGTGTGGGGAGTGGACAGAGGCCCTTCTGAGCTGCCCCCGAGAGCCAGCCCCACCCCGGTCAGCACCCACACAGCCCCAGGTCAGGCAGGACACAAACCCAGCCCACCACAAAGCTCCCTCTCAAACCACGTCCCTGAAAAGTCCTGTACCCAGAATATGCCCAGAACTCCCACAACTCCACCATGAAGAGGAAAGGGCCGATTAAACAAGGGGCCTTTGAACATTTCTCCAGAGAAGAGCCACACACGGCCAGTGAGCTCATGCCAGGACGCCGGGCACCGGGGAAACGTGAACCTCAACTGAGCGAGACACGGACCCGCCTCGCGCCGACGGCCACTGAGAGCAAACACCATGAGCTGCTGGGTCGAGGGGAATCAGACCCTCCGCGTCGCTGGCGGGAGCGTGTGTGATGCGGCCACTGCAAACAGCCGGCGGCTCCTCAAAGAGCTGAACGCAGAGTCCATGGGCCCAGCACACGCCCGGGCGCGCAGCCAGGGGGTCTGAGCGCTGTCCACACACAGACCTCGGCACGGACGTCCACGGCAACACGATCCCATCACTAACAGATGGAACGCGGAACCAGCCCTCAACCGCCGGAGGGAGAGACAAAACCGGGTTTACCCGTCAACACCGCTTCGTACAGCCAAACTCTGAGACACGCTGCCCCGCGGGCAAACCCCGAAAACATGCCCAGCCAGTCACAGAGACCTGTCGACACAACTCCGTGCCCAGGGGATGTCGTGGAGGGGCACGCCAGGGCTCAGGGCCGGTGGAAAGGTGCCACGGTTAGACTGGTCGCGGCTGCGCACCGAATGTGCTGGGAAGAACGGAACGGTAGACTAATGGAACGCTAGACTTGGGGGTGAGCTGCATGTGTGTGCATCAGAGCTCAGGAAACCGTTTTGGAAAGGACTCCCTTCGCCCGGCAGCCCTCTGGGAACCCTCCCCAGGAGCCACAGGGCGGCCTGGCTCCATCCAGCTTGGTCCTGGCAGCTCCCCTGTCCACCGGAGCATGCCTGGGCTGGGCCCTGCCCTGATGGTGTCGCCCCTCCCCTCACCACCTTTGGAGCACGTGCTGCCCCCGAGGCCCTGCGGCCTGACCTGTTCCTCTGTTTCTCAGGAGCCGTCCCCGTGCCCTCCCCCTGCCCTCCCCCTGTTTCTGCTGCCTTAGTACATTTGGCCTTGTCATAGTTCAACACAAACCATTTTTAAACAAAAACAAGAGAAACCACTCTGACCTTTCACTGAGAAAATCCTTTCATTTCTGCCTTCTGCTCTTGATTCTGAATTTCTCCCCCTAAATGTCAGAGGGGCTGATTCTCCTGCAGCTGCTGGGCAGGGGTGGGGAGGCAGTGTGGGAAGAAGTCTCCTTAGCCGGCCCTTCGCCCTCCTCCCAACCCAGGGCTGGCAACCTGGCTGGGCCTGGGGCACTGTGGTGCAGACTCTGGCCAGGCTGGACCAAAGAATAGCTGTTCTCCAGGCACCCGCCTTCCCCGGCCCTCAGAGGCTGGCAGGCTTTGGGAGCCTGGCTGTTCATTTCTAAAACAATTTTTTTTTAGAGATGAGTCTCACTCTGTCACCCAGGCTGGAGTGCAGTGGCATGATGATGGGTCACTCAGCCTCGAGCTCCTGGGCTCAAGTGATCCACCTCAGCCTCCTGAGCAGTTGGAATGACAGGCATGTGCCAGCACACCTGGCTAATTTTTAAATTTTTTTGAGAGATAGATAGGCTTTAGCTATGTTGCCCAGGCTGGTCTCAAACTCCTGGCCTGACGTGATCCTCCTGCCTCAGCTGCTCATGACGTGAGGATTACAGGTGTGATCTCTGATCATTCTTTATTTGAAACAGGTGCACCCTGCCAGCATCAGCAAGACAGCTGCTCCCAATGGTAGGCCGGGCCGCCCACTCACGGCTCCTACAGCACTTCCTCTCTGCTGGCCTCAGGCGGCTCTGGAAGAATGACGCCCTAAGATACCGCACTGCCCTCCAGGTGGGGGTGGGGGTGGACGGAGACAGGCAGGAGTGACCAGTGCTACTCTCCCAGCTCAAACCCTACACGAAGGCAGACCCAGCGTTTGCAAAACACCAGCCCCCTGTGAACAAGTCGACCTGCCGTGCAGCCCACCTCTGACTCCGTTTCCCCCAGCATACCCGGCCGCATTGGGAGGCTCCACCTCGGTCCAACACTCCGGCATTAGCAGGACCTGCTGAATGAGTGGCACCGGGCCCATCCATCTCTGCCATCTCTGCTCAGCCCTCTGCCATGTTCAAATATCACACAGTCCCCAGGTACCTCGTAAATCACTGTAATTAGGGGCTGCTCACTTAAAATTAGAGCGCAATTTTTTAAAAAGCAAATTGTCAGTAAGACACGTTGGCTGTGGCTGGAAATATTTATGAGGCTGCCTGCGCGCAGGCTCTGGCTTCCTCTCCCTCTGTCTGGCCGGCCCGAGCTGCCACCTGTCTAGTCTGCACACATAGCGGCCATGTGGCTGGCGGGTGCCCTGGGGGAGACTGAGACACTCACTCTTAATGAAGACACTCGCGGCGTCCATTGTGGCCACTGCACTCCAGTCCAGACCCCGGCTGGCCTGGCCTGGCCTGGGGCTCACCTGCCCCTCTGGAAGCAGAGAGGGCCTGCCCTGGAGGGCCGGGGACCTCTGCAGCACGTCCGTGGAACACGTGGGCCAGGGAGTGTGTGCCCGGCCCCCATTCCAGCTCTGCCACGTGAGCAGTGCTCACACGGTGCCTAGGGCTGAGGGGTCTTACTAAGCGCTGGTCCCACCATCCCGAGCCGAGCCCCATGGTGTCCCAGCGGGCACGGACAAGAGGCACGGAGTGAGGGAGGGGTGGAGGCTGACAAAGTGCTTGGAGAGCAGAGACAGCGCCTCTCTCCACACACCACCAACTGCAGGATGTGGTGGGGCTCGGAGGCCAAGGGGGAAGTGTGAGGGATTCCTGTCAAGAACAAGACCCCCTGCTGCTGAGGGTCCAAGAGAAACTCCATGAACGGGGAAACTCAAGGGGAGGAAGCTAGAGATGGAATGAAGGAAGCCCTGAATCCTGGCTCAAACAAGCAAAGCTGAAATAATGCAGTAAAATGAGAAGACACGCAGGAAATGGAAACGATGCTACTTCGAGATACTGGGAAGTTATGTGAATGCTGTTCATCTGTGGGGTGGTGTGAAGAGGTGGAGGCCACACCAGTGGACATCAAAACCAGAAACCAGTCAGAGAAGGACAACAGGAAAACTGTAAGTGCCTGGAAATCAAACAGCACACTTCTAAGTAATCCACGAGTCAAATGGGATGCCTCGAAGGAAATAAAAAAGAGAACAGAATGGAAACAAGAATACAGCATAATGAAATTTGCCAGACGCACCCAAGGCAGTGCTTAGAGGGAAACAGACAGCACTCAATGCCAGTATCAGGAAAGGAGAAAGATCTCAAATTGCTTCTCTAAATTCCTACTTCAAGAAACGCAGGGAGAAACAAGCCCGAAGCAGGAGGAGGAAATAATAAAAGTAGGAATGAATAGGAAAACAAAAGACAGTTATTAAAACCAAAAACTGGTTCTTTAAAAAATAGCAATAAGGCCGGCCAGGAGCAGGGGCTCACACCTGTAATCTTTGCACTTTGGGAGGCCAAGGTGAGAGGATCACTTGAGCCCTGGAGTTTGAGACCAGCCTGGACAACACAGTGAGACCCCATCTCTATAATCAATCAGCCAGGTGTGGTGGCATATACCTGTAGCCCCAGGTATGTGGGATCACGTGGGCCTAGGAGTTTGAGGCTGTAGTGAGCTATGATCACACCACTGCACTCCAGCCTGGGCAACAGAGTGAAACCCTGTCTCAAAAATTTGTTAAAAAGACCAGCAACAATAAATTGATAAACCCCTCGCAAAACTGACAAAGATTAAAAAGGGGGAACGCCTGTAATCCCAGCACTTTGGGAGGCCAAGGCAGGGCATCACGAGGTCAGGAGATCGAGACCATCCTGGCTAACACAGTGAAACCCCATCTCTACTAAAAATACAAAAAATTAGCTGGGTGTGGTGGTGGGTGCCTGTAGTCCCAGCTCCTTGGGAGGCTGAGGCAGGAGAATGGCATGAACCCAGGAGGCAGAGCTTGCAGTGAGCCGAGATCATGCCACTGTACTCCAGCCTGAGCAACACAGCAAGACTTCATCTCAAAAAAAAGAAAGGGGGGAGAGTGAAATGACCAATATCAGAAATGAAATGGAAATATTATAATAGATCCAGAAGCTATTAAAATAACAATAAAAAATACTACAACAAAACTTGATGCTCATAACGAACTGGACGGATTCGTCGAAAACCACATACTACCAAAACGTGCCAAGATAAAATAGCCTCGGTAGTCCTATAACCATTAAATAAATCGAGTTTGTTGTAATTAAAATGCTACTCAAAATCTCCAGTCCCAGATGGTTTCACTAGAAAGTTTTACCGAACATTAAATATGAATTAATACCAATTTTACACAATCCTTTTTCAGTTAACAAAAGACAGGGAAACACCTTTCCACTATTAACCTTGTACTGAAACCAACAAGGATGGTGCGCACACACAGAAAAATAAGTATCAGTCTCTCATGAACTTAGATGCAAAAATACTCAACAAGTACTAACAAATGGAATCCAGCAATCTACGAAAAAGAGTATCACACCCTGACCAAGTGGGATTCAGTTTAGGTGTACAACGAAGGCTAGTTCAAATTTGAAAATCAATCAATGTTATTCACCCTATCAACAGGCTAAAGGAAAACAATGATATGATCCTATTGACACAGGCAAAGCATTTGACAAAATTTAATCTCCATTCCTGACAAGAACTCTTGCAAAGCAGGAATCAAGGGAAAGTCCTCCGACTTGGTAAAAAGCACCATGAAGAACCCTCAGCTCACGCTGCTTCACGGAGGAGTCTGGCCGCCTTCCCTCATTCGGTCAGCGGAGAGCTGGCTTTCCCCACTCATCCTCAACCCAGCATGGGAGCTCCTCACGCCAGGGCATGCAGGTAAGAAAAGGAAAGCAGCAGCATAGGGATTGGAAAAGAACAGAACTGTCCCTACTCGCAAATGACATGATGGCCCACGTGGAAAACCCTAAGCAATCTGCAGAAAACTCCTAGAATGACGTGACGGCCCACGTGGAAAACCCTAAGCAATCTGCAGAAAACTCCTAGAATGACGTGACAGCCCATGTAGAAAATCCTGAGCAATCTGCAGAAAACTCCTCGAACACTAAGTGAGTTCACGAAGGTTGCAGGAAATAAGATGAACATACAAAAATTAACCACATTTCTATAAAGCAATGGCAAACAAGTGAAAAACAAAATTAAAAGGCAATATAATTTACAGAACATCTTAAATACTTGGGTATAAATCTAACAAAAACTTGTATAGTGTCTGTTTGCAGAAAGTTAGGAAATACTGATGAAAGGAATCAAAAGAATGTTTGTATAAATAGATACAATGTTTATGAACTGGAAGACTTATAGTAAATCAATTTTTCCAAAATTGATCTTTGGTTTTAAGGTAATTGCTGTCTAAACCTCAGCATATATATATATATATATATATATATATATATTTTTTTTTTTTTTTTTTTTTTTTTTTTTTGGAAAGAGGGTCTTATTCTGTCACCCAGGCTGGAGTGCAGTGGTGTGGTCTTGGCTCACTGCAGCCTCAAGCAATCTTCCTGCCTCAACGTGCCAAGTAGCTGTAACTACAGGTGCGCACCACCACTCATGGCTGTGTTTTTTTCATAGAGATGGGGTCTCCCTGTGTTGCCCAGGCTGGTCTCCAACTCCTGGGCTCAAGCGATCCTTTTGCCTTGGCTTCCCCAAGTGTTGGGATTACCGGTGTGAGCCACCATGCCTGGCCAGCATCTTTTTTTTTTTTTTTTTTTTGGTAGAGAGACACAAGATTATTCTAAAATGTATATGGAAAGCCATTCCAAAAAAGAAGAGTAGGGGAATTGCCCTTCCTGATGTTGAGAACTGTACAGCTACAGCACAGCGTTATACAGCTCCTACATCAGACAGACATGGCTGGGGCAGCGCTGGAGGGGAGATGTGGAGACCAGCGGAACAGAACAGAGGAACTCGAAAGAGACCCACAGACGTGTCCAGGCCACTTTCTAACAGAGAATATTATGCCGTGACCAAGTGGGACTTAGTTTAGGTGTACGAGGCTAGCTTGGTATTTGAAAATCAATCAATGTAATCTGCTATATCAACAGGCTAAAGAATAAACAACATATGATCCTATTAATCGATACAGAAAAGTCACAAAAAAGTCACAAAGGTGCTTCAGTGGAGGAGGGGCAGTCTTGTCTTTGCTACAGCTGGAGCCGGAGCAGCTGGACACACTTAGTTAAAAAAAAATTTTTTTTTGACCGAAACCTCACATCTCATATAAAATTTAACTCAAACTGTATCATGAACTTACATGTAAAACACAGAATTATTTTAAAAAAGAAATCTTCAGGATCTGGATGAGGCAGAGCTCTGACACTCAACACCAAAGCACAATCCATAGAATAAAATTAAAATGGATAAATGGGCCTCGCCAAAATTTTAGGAAATTGCACAGTGGAAGAGCCTGTGAAGCAGACACAAGGACAAGCTACACAACAGGGCGCCAGCGTCTCCCTGCCCATCTCTCCTAGAACGCCACGGCCACAGAGGACCCCAGCACCTGGAGGGGCCAGTGCACAGAACCCGGAGGGGGGTGACTGCAGCGTCTTAACCCCAAGTGGGATTCCTGCCCGTGCCCTGGCCCCACAGGGCAAGGCCCACATCTGTCTTGCTTCTCTCTTTTCCCAGAACAGACTTCACCAGGCTGGAGAGTGGCCTGGGCACAGAGGCCGGGGCTGTGGCATCAGCAGCCATCGTGAGGGCAGAGCGCCCGGCGTTCTCAGACACACCCCTGCTCCCACTGGCCTTCCTGGGAGAAGCACCCCCTTGTTCCAGATGAGAAGCCGCAGCTGCTGGGCTGGGGGAGGCATGAATATTCCATGCTCAGATCTGCAAGCGCCATGCACCTAACTGGACACAGCTCCAGGCGCCTGCTTCCCTGAAGCCCAATCCTCCTGTCCTTGGTGTGCTGCAAGCGCCACTCCCGAGCAGGGCTGTGTGTGGGGAGAGGAGAGGAAAGGAGCCCTTGGGGGAAGTTATGCTGGGAGCCCATTTGTGGGGGGAGGGAGAGCGGGAAGCAAGGTGCATGAGGATGGGGTGTCCTGCAGCTGGGTCCTGACTGGGGGCTGCTCCCTCTCCTGGGCCTAGGCACTGCAGGAAAACGGCAGGTAGTTAGCCTGCCACCACCTCCCAGCCACCACCACACACCCTCGACGACCTTCCAGATAGACGGCTCGATCCTGACTTGAGCACTGCCGGCCCCAACACCTCCCCTCTTACACCACCTGCTTGTGTGGGCCTGGTGGCAGAGCTGCCGACGTCGGGGGCTTTCACACCCACCAGAACTAGCTTCTAACCTCGGCTTGGCCACCAGGAAGCTGCGTGACCCTGGGCACACCGACACACCTCTCTGAGCCTGGTCTGCATGCTGGGCATTGCCGAGAAGACTAACAAAGTCAGGTGCGTAAAATCACCGGGCTCAGGGGAGACACCGAGCACAGTGGGATGAGGAAACCCTGTGCCCACGTTACCCCGGGCCATGAGGACGGCAGCTGCCCCGTGCCCTGGTGCCATCGGATGGCCTCTACTGGGAAGTGAGCTGCTCCCGGCCTTGTCCCCACCTCGCTGCAGCAGGACTGGTTGTCTGCCAGGCCCCGGAGCCCCCAGGCTTCCCACAGAGGCTCCCCCACCAGGACCCGTGGGAGAGGAGATGGGCGTGCCTGGCTGGCATCTGCCGGGGCAGCCACAGGTCCCTGTGAACCTCGCTTGTAGAAGACACCTGCTCTCAAAGCCAGCGAAGGGGAGATTTTTTTTTGTCTTGAGGCTGTAAGGAAATCAGTGTTTTCAACTTCAAAAGACTCTCCGGGCTTCTCAAGTTGAGAATCTGACGCATTCCAGGCACTTTCATGCACACATGGGGCGAGCCGGGGAGAAGACTCAGCAGCGTCCGCCGAGAGTCAGCCTTGAACTTCAGGGGTGAGAAAACCCTTCAAGTTCACACTGCAGCACGACACACACTCTCACACCCACACTCACAGAGTGCAAAAGGACCCTTAGAAAATCTTCAAAATGTTAATGGCGGTTAACTCGGAGTGTTGGGATGGAAAGTGACTCATGGTTCTCTGCATTTTCCAGATTTTTTTATATGCTGCATATTTGTAATTAGGAAAAATGTATATCTAAATTATATCTGCAAGAGCGGAACAGCTTCGAGACAGGCCGCTGAGCACACGGGTTCCCCACTGCGGACACATGCAAGCCCCAATCCTTATCCACCTGGCCTGCAACCCTCAGGCGTCTTGCTCGTCTGCCCGTCTGCCTGGAGCGTCTCCAGACACTCTGTGGGAGGCCCCTCTGTGGGCTGCTGAGGCCGGTGCTGCCCACCCACCTGCCCCAGATGTCCTGGGCTTGGGGTGCCACGCTGGCGTCATGGCTGGCATCTTGGCTGGTGGCACCACAGACGCCAGGCGTGGGTCACAGCGTGAGCCCAGCCAGCTGGTTGGGGTGGGTGGCGCTGGTCAGGTGGCCACAGCAGAGTCCGCTGAGGCCACCTGTCATAGGGCTGCTGCTGAGGTGTGAGAGACACGGGCCCATGCCCCTCGGCACCCAGTGGCCAGGGCACCCAGGTTGGGCTTGTGCGAATCCCAGGTGGGGCACAGCTCTGTCTGTCCACGGGTCTTTGCGGTGCCCGTCTGAGCGCCTGTGAACAGTGCTGGGCAGTCTCACCATGCACACAACTCTGCACGAGCCTCCACGGCCAGGGCTGCCCTCCCTTCCCTAAAAAGTCTCAGGGGCTGAAGGCCTTGGACCATGGCATCAGGGTCCAGAGGTGATAAACCTGGGTAATGTGTGCCCTCATCCCAGCGGGTGCTGCTGGAGGTTAGAGGTTAGCAGAGTCCCAGCCCCGGGGTTAGAGGTCAGCACAGTCCCAGCCCCGGGGTTGGAGGTCAGCATAGTCCCAGCCCCAGGGTTGGCGGTCGGCACTGTCCCAGCCCCGGGCGGGGTTGGCGGCCGGCACAGTCCCAGCCCTGGGGTTAGCACAGTCCCAGCTTGGC
Organism: Homo sapiens; assembly: GCF_000001405.40. Classification (NCBI taxonomy): domain Eukaryota; kingdom Metazoa; phylum Chordata; class Mammalia; order Primates; family Hominidae; genus Homo; species Homo sapiens. The sequence goes on along the minus strand of NT_187632.1, from coordinate 96,462 downwards.
TTCATGACCTCGGCAGCAGTGATCTGTATCCCAAAGTTCGGGCGTGATAACGTCAAGACCGTGCTGAGCCTGCTGGGTACAGCGTGAAAATGGCTGGTGCTACCGTGGTCTACACAACCTGTTAGACCGGGATACCGAGGACTCCTGGCAGCCTCACACCTCACAGCTGGGCTCTGCACAGGAGTCTCAGGTGCTGTGGGGCCAGCCTGCCTGCTGCACATCCAAGGCCCGAGGGTGATCCAGGAGCAGCAGCCACCGCCGAGCCCTGATAGTCACTGCCTGGCCTGTCCGCGCTCTGAGGAGGGAGAGAGCAAGCTTCTCGCCTCTGGTGTATTACCGCAGCCGAGGGACTCCTCCTCCAGGCTGGCCACAGGACTTGTTACAGCCTATGCCTGACTCCCCCGCTCATGGCCTCACTCCCTCATGGATGCCCATGGCCGGCCCAGCCCCACCCTGCACAGGCCCCCCAGCTCCAGGCCCAGCCCAGCTCAGCTCCTCGGAGCTCCTGGTCCAGAGGTCCAGGTTTGACCCCAGGACACCCTGCTGTGTGCACGACCCTCAGCTCCCACCCCTCTCTGCCGCACTGTCCCTCCAGCGTCCCTCGGGGGAGGCGACACAGCCGGGCCCAAAGGAGGCCTCGCAGATGCTGCCGCGTGAGCACCGTGCTGAGGGCCTGGTGGCAACTGGGTCAGGACAGCTTGGACAGAATGCCGAGAACAAATGTCCCGGCATGAAGTTCCAAAGAACGGAAGCTGGCAAAAAGTGTGTCCGGCATGGGGAAAATAGCTCAGCCAATTATTCCTGCCTAATTGTACCGAGGAAAGCATCTAAATACTGCCTGTGCTAATTATACCAGCGTTATTGGGGTTTATCTTCCCGGCGAGGGTGACCTTTCCTTCAAGAGTGACTGGCGGGGCGGGCAAGGCCAGGCACCCCAGCAGTCGCAGAAAAATCCCAAACCAACAATTATTATTATTATTATTCTATTTATACAGCTCCCCCTCGCACACGGGCGTTCTGCTTTACAGCCACACGCAGCTGCTCCTGCAGCCGCAGCCGGAGGGGAGCCGAGGGAGTGGGGGCGCCAGCTCGGGGTGGGGCGGCCTGAGCAGCCCCTGCTGTGAGTGGCATCCGCCACGGGCGGCTCCAAGGGCCGTGGAAGGGCATGGAGGCCACAGGGATGAGTTAGAGGAGGTGGCGGGGATGGAGAAGGAGGGAGAAGGGGCTGAGTGTGGGTTAAAAGACAGGGACTGGCCCCGAGGGCAGCAGGAGCGCAGAGCACATTGAAGGTTAAGGGAAGAAAGGGGACGCCGCGGGCAGGCAGGACAGGTGCTCAGCTCAGGCACGCAGGTGAGGAGGGAGGAGCTGCAGCACAGCCCTCGCCCAGTGGCTCCCTGAGCCCCGCCCAGGTGTGGGGTCCTCCCCTCCTGAGCCCGTCCCGGGTGTGGGGTCCTCCCCTCCTAAGCCCGGCCCGGGTGTGGGGTCCTCCCCTCCTGAGCCCCGCGTGGCTGTGGGGTCCTCCCCTCCTGAGCCCGGCCTGGCTGTGGGGTCCTCCCCTCCTGAGCCCCGCCTGGCTGTGGGGTCCTCCCCTCTTGGGCCCGGCCCGGGTGTGGGGTCCTCCCCTCCTGGGCCCCGCCTGGCTGTAGGATCCTCCCCTCCTGAGCCCGGCCCGGGTGTGGGGTCCTCCCCTCCCGGGCCCCGCCTGGCTGTGGAGTCCTCCCCTCCTGGGCCCCGCCTGGGTGTGGGGTCCTCCCCTCCTGGGCCCGGCCTGGGTGTGGGGTCCTCCCCTCCTGGGCCCCGCCTGGCTGTGGGGTCCTCCCCTCCTGGGCCCCGCCTGGCTGTGGGGTTCTCCCCTCCTGAGCCCCACCTGGCTGTGGGGTCCTCCCCTCCTGGGCCCCGCCTGGCTGTGGGGTCCTCCCCTCCTGGGCCCCGCCTGGCTGTGGGGTCCTCCCCTCCTGAGCCCGGCCCGGTTGTGGGGTTCTCCCCTTCTGAGCCCCACCTGGCTGTGGGGTCCTCCCCTCCTGAGCCCTGCCTGGCTGTGGGGTCCTCCCCTCCTGGGCCCAGGCTAGACAGCACCACCCTTTCCAGATGTAGCCGAATGAGAACAGGAGAGGACGTCAGCAGCCTCTGCGCCTTTTCACCTCCCACCCAGGCGAGGCCCATGCTGCTGGGGGTGACGTTTCGTGGAGCGCCACGCTTAGGGCAATGTGATGCTGGGGATGCGGGGTGAGGAGGGCCGGAGATGCAGGCCCGCCCTCCTGTGAGGCTGCCCCTCTTATCTGCTGTGGGCCCTGGGGCCCATCAGTTTGTCTCTCTGAGCTGAAGTTTCCTGAATGTAAAATGGAGACAAAATGCCTATTTTCCCACCTCAGAGGGCGGCCGGCAGCTTCCGGCCGAGACAGAGCCACAAGGACAGATGCACCTGCCATCTGAAACAGCCAGAATATGAGGCATCAAATGTGAAACAACAGTTTTCAGTCAGGAAGGGTGGTGGGCCTTGAGAGACGGGGCGAGCCTGGGGAGACGGTCACAGCCCAGGCAGGGCCTCGGGGGACCTGAGTTGAGGGACAGGGCTGGAGCTGGAGCCAGGGCGCAGAACAGAGTGCCAGAGAAGAGGGCTGAGTTCGCTGGAGTGCTTGGTGAGAGGCTGAGAAAACCTGGAGCATTAGAGAGAAAAACCCAGAAAACGGCGCCTGAAGCTCACACTGGGCTGGAGCAGTGCCTGTCTCCGGCAGCCTCGCGGGAAAGCCTGCGAACTAGGCGGCTCCAGGGCACAGCACTGAGATGGACACCCCTCAGCAAGGGGTGGTGTGAGCCCCAGACAGACGCTGCCCTGCTCCCACCTCACATTTCCTAAACCGAGACCCAGAGAACCAGGCTGTTTCCAAGTACCTGAACTGTGTCTCCGAACAGAGCTCACGAATATTTATAGGAACACACACACACACACGTGCATGCACAGGCACACGCACACATGCACACACAGCCTCGCAGCACTCAACAAAGAGAAAATCAGCTGAGTGAAACAAACCTAGGGCTGACCTGACGTCAGAAGCGGCAGATCACATTAAGTCACTGTAACTTTGCTCCATATGCCCAAAAAGTTGAGGACAGACATAAAAGGGACAAAAAAGAGCCAAATTGACCTTCTAAGGATGAAGACAACAAGTGCGGGGGACGGATCCATGCCAGATCAGACATTGCGGAAACAGGATCAGTGAAGCTGCAGATACAACCACGGAAACCGTCCGAGATGAAACAGATGAGAAAAAGAAAGAAAAGTGCATACAAACAAAAAGGAAAAAAACGGAAAGATAAATATAAAGGAGGCAGCACATCGGGCGTGGGCTGTGGGGTGACGTCACGTGGCCTGACACGTGGGGCAGGAGTCCCGGAGGCAGGCTGGTGGCACTTCTGAAATGGCTCCTGATGGTCCCCACCTCCAGGCATCACCCGCATCAGCGCCAGCCCTTCAGCGTGACTTACAGCTGATGCAAAGTGTGGCGCAAGTGCTGGCTTCCCCTCTGCAGTCACGTCACGGCAGCCGTGACTTCTGCGGCTCCCACCCTGGTTCTCAGAGCTCTGACACGCCAGCTGCCGTGCGTGAGCTGCCCACATGGCGAGGAGCTGCCATAGGAACCCAGCGCGGCAGCCCAACCACGGATGAGAAGCAGAATCCTTCTGACGGCCACATGGGTGTACCTGGACGTGGGACCTTCCCCAGCAGAGCCAAGAGGACCGTGGCTTGTGAGGTCTCTGAGCAGAGAGCCAGCTCAGCCACACTTGGATTCCTGACCCCAGAAGCCATGAGCCACTGAGTTCTGCAGCGATGTTATTCAAGGACTGGTCGCCAGTGGTGGGGACAGCAAAGAGTCTTGAAAAAGTAATGGCCCCAATTTTCTGAAATGTGTGGAAAAGTGTAAACTGAGAGATCTGAGAAGTTCAAAGAACCCTAACCACCCCCCCACCAAAAAAAAAAAAAAAAAAAAGGCAGGGGGAGGAAACAACATTAAAGTACACAAAGTACATCATAATCAAACTGGTCAAAACCAGTAGTACAGATGAAATCTTAAAAGCAGTCAGAGGAAGAAAAGACAATTTACTGACAGAGGAACAAAGATGAGGATGACAGCAGACTTCTCAGAGGAAATAATGGAATTAAGAAGACAGTGAGATCACCTCTGTAAAGTACAGAAAGACAAAGCCCAGAATTCTCCACCCAGTGGAAATATCTCCCCCCAAATAAAGACTTCTTCAGGTGTGCAAGAGCTTAAAATATCCCAAAAAGCAGCTGATTCACACTGCAAGAATATTAAAGGAAGCCCTTCAGACAGAAGGAAAATGAGGATGCAAACAGGGGCTTACACAACAGGCCAGGCCGGTGGCTCACGCCTGTAATCCCAGCACTGTGGGAGGCCGAGGTGGGAGGATCACCTGAGGTCAGGAGTTCAGGACCAGCCTGGCCAACATGGTGAAACCCTGTTTCTACTAAAAATACAAAAATTGGCCACGTGTTGTGGCACATCCCTGTAATCCCAGCTACTCGGGAGGCTGAGGCAGGAGAATCGCTTTAACCTGGGAGGCGGAGGTTGCAGTGAGCTGAGATCGCGCCACTGCACTCCAGCCTGGGTGACACAGTGAGACTCTGCCTCAAAAAAATAAATAAATAAATAAAAACAAACATGGGCCTACACAAGAAGAAGGAAGAACAGCCCTACTCCTTCCATGAATGAGGGGTGGGAGCTGCATATGCAGACATATACAACATTTACAATTATTATTTACATCTCTTTCAAAGATAGCTGACTAAACAGAAATAAAAACAAAGTATTGTGGGGTTTATCATGTGCATAAATAAAATATATTATAAGCAGACGACTAAGGCAGGAAGGAGAAGACTGGAAGTATGTGACTGTCAGGTTCTCACACTACACGTAAGGTGGTGTCGTATCATTCGAGGATGACTGTGTTAAGTTAAAGATCTACGTGCCCTAAATCCTAACACAACCTGTAAAAAATACAGTTAACAAATCAAAAAAGGAGGCACATGAACTTGTAAAAAATTCAATCCAAGAAAGGCAGAAAAAGAGGGAAGAAAAAAGAACAAAGGACAGACAGGACAAACAGAAAACAAATAACAAGATGATAGACTTATCTAATCAAAGTAGTAATCAATTTAAATGTAAATGGCCCAGTGAAAAGGCAGAGAATGTCAGATTTTATGCACATTTAAGACTCAGCTATATCCTGCTTTTAAGAAGCACATTTTAACTATGAAGACGCAGTAGATTAAAAGTAACGTGAAGCAGATACAGTGTGCTCACATTTCGCCGTGTTCACATGAGCACACCTTGCTTCATCCGTTGCCTGACTGTGCCTCACAGACACTGCATTTTTTACAAATTTAAGGTCTGTGTCTGGCAAGTCTATTGGCACTATTTTTCCAAAAGCGTGGATTCACTTCATGTCTGTGTCATATATATTTCCAACTTTTTCATTATTAGTATATCTTTTATGGTAGTCTGTCATCTGTGATCTTTGATGTCACCATTGTAATGGTCTCGGAGCTCCACAAACAGTGCCCATAAGATAGCAAACTTAACTGATAAATGTGTGTGTTCTGACTGCTCCACTGACCAGCCATCCCCCATCTCTCTCCTTCTCCTTAGGCCTCCCCATTCCCTGAGACACGACCATCACAACAATATTGAAACCAGGCCCATTAATAACCCTAGAATGGCTTCTAGGTGTTCAAGTGAAAGAAGACTCACATGTCTCTCACTTTAAATCAAAAGCTAGAGATAATTAAGTTTAGTGAGGAAGGCATGTTGAAAACTGAGGCCAAAAGCTAGGTCTCTTGCACCACACAGCTAGCCTGCAAAGGAGAAGTTCGTAAAGGAAATCACAAGGGCTATTCCAGCGAACACATGAATGTTAAGAAAGCAGAACAGGCTTACTGCTAATATGGAGATGGTAAATGAGCTCTTGGGGCCCTTAAGAATGATGCTAAGTCTTCTCTGTCTGTGCTCTATCAGTGGAACAACGAAGCCTGGATGACAGCACATCTGTTCAAACGTAGCACAGTGCACTGAATATTTTAAGCCCACTGTTGAGACCTCCTGCTCAGAAAACAAAATTCCTTTCAAAATATTATTGCTCACTGACAATGCAACTAGTTACTGGGCTCTGATGGAGATGAACGTTGTTTCTATGACTGCTAACACAGCATCCATCCTGTGGTCCCTAGATCAAGGGACAATTGACTTTCAAGTGTTATTATTTAAGAAATACATTTTGTAAGGCTATAGTTGTCACAGAGTGCTTCCTCTAATGAATCTGGGCAAAGACAACTGAAAACCTTCCGGAAAGGAGCTGTCATTCTAGATGCCATTAAGAACATCAGTGATTTATGAGAGGAGGTCAAAGTATCACCATTAACAGGAGTTTGCAGAAGTTGGTTCCAACCCTCCTGGATGACTTGGTTCAAGAAGAGGTCAGTGGAGGAAGATGGACAGATGTGGTGAAAATAGCAAGAGAATTAGAATTAGAAGCAGAGCCTGAAGATGTGACTAAATTGCTGCAATCTCATGATCAAGCTTGAATGGATGAGGAGCTGCTTCTTATGAATGAACAAAGAAAGTGGTTTCTTGAGATGGAATCTGCTCCTGGTGAAAATGCTGTGAACATTGTTGAAAAATGACAGCAAAGTACATCAACTTAGTTGATAAAGCAGTTTGAGGGGTTGAGAGGATTGGCTCCAAGATAGAAAGAAGTTCTACTGTAGGTAAAATGGTTTTAGAGAGCATTGCATGCTACAGAGAAATCTTTCATGAAAGGAAGAGTCAATCAATGTGGCCAGCTTCATTGCTGTTTTTTTTTTTTTTTTTTTTTTGGTGGGGGGATGGAGTCGTGCTCTGTTGCCCAGGCTGGAGTGCAGTGGCACGATCTCAGCTCACTGCAACCTCCACCTCCCAGGTTCAAGCGATTCTCGTGCCTCAGCCTCCCAAGTAGCTGGGATTACAGGTACGTGCCACCATGCCCGGCTAATTTTTGTGTTTGTAGTAGAGACAGGTTTTCACCATGTTGGCCAGGGTGGTCTCGAACTACTGGCCTCAAGTGATCCATTTGCCTCAGCCTCCCAAAGTGCTGGGATTACAGGCTTGAGCCACAGCACCCAGCCCATTGGTGTTTTTAAGAAACTGTCACAGCCACCCCAACCTTCAGCAACCACCACCCTGATCTGTCAGCAGCCATCACCATCAAAGCAAGAACCTCCACCAGCAAAGAGATTACAACTGGCTAAAGGTTTGGGTGATCGTTAGCATTTTTAAGCAATAAAGTATTTTTAAAATCAGGACATGTACATTGTTTTTTAAAGACATAATGCTATTGTACACTTGACAGACTATAGTATAGGATAAACATAACTTTTATATGCACTGGGAAACAAAATGCATGGGACTTGCTTTATTGTGATATTGGTTTAATCACAGTGATCTGGAACCAAATGCGCGATATACCCAAGGTTGCTTATTGACAGTGCAGCTCTGTATCAGACAAAGTAGATTTCAGAGCAAAGAATATTACTAGCAATAAAGGTCATTTCATAATGATAAAAGCGTCCATTTATATATGAAACAAAAACTGGAATGCAAGAAGGAATAGAGAAATCTGTAATTATAGTCAGAGATGTCAATATTCATCTATCAATAACTGATAGAACAGGAAGACAGAAAATTGGCAAGGATATAGAAGCTTTGCAAACATTATTAAAAATGTCAGCTACTTGACATCAATATAGCACATTCCAGTGGGATACAGGATACACACAGATTTTAAGTACACACACAACATTTACCAAGGCAGTAACATTCTGGATGGACCTTAAAACAAATTTCAAGAAATGTGACCAGATGCAGTGGCTCACGCCTGTAATCCCAGCACTTTGGGAGGCCGAGGCAGGTGGTTCACCTGAGCTCAGGAGTTCGAGACCAGCCTGGCCAACATGGTGAAACCCCATGGTGAAATCCCAGTTACTCGGGAGGCTGAGGTAGGAGGCAGGAGAATCACTTGAACCTGGAAGGCAGAGGTTGCAGTGAGCTGAGATCGTGCCATGCACTCCAGCCTGGGTGACAGAATGAGACTCTGTCTCCAAAAAAAAGTAGAAGGATTCAGACCGTTCCGAGAATGTTCTCTGACAATAATGAAATTAAATGAGAAATTAGTAACAGAACGGCATCTGGAGATTTTCAAAAAATGTGGAAACTAACACACTTCTAAATAACCCATATGTCAAAGAAGAAATCAAAAGGGAGGTTAGTAAGTGATTTGAACTGAATGAAGATAAAAACAAAATATCAGAATTTGTGGGATGCCACTAGAGCAGAAACTAGGGGGAAACTTATAGCACTGAATGTCCACATTAAAAAAAGAAGGTCTCAAATCAGAGACTTCAGCTTCGACCTTAAGGAACTAAAGAAGGGCAAATTAGACAAAGTAAGCAGAAGAAAGAAAATAAAGATCAAAGCAACAATGGTGAAAGAAAACAAAAAAGCAGTATAAATAATAAAACCCAAAGCTGTTTCTAGCCAGACTGACCTGGAATAAAAGAGAAGAGACAAGTTACTAACATCAGGAAGAAGAGGGATGATAGCACTACAGATCCTACAGATGTTAAAAGGGTAGTAAGAGAAATTATGAACAACTTTATGCCAATACCTTTGAAAACAGATAAAATGGACAAACTTCTGAAGATACAAACTACTAAAGCTCACCACAAAAGAAAAAGACAATGTGAATAACTCTATGTCTATCAAGACACTGATGTGTAGTTAAAACCTCAGGAAGAAAACTTCAAGGTTCAATGGGTTTACTGATGAATTGGATCAACTATTTAAAAAAGAAATAATATCAATTCTACATTAACTCTTTTCTTCCAGTTTGTTTTAATCAAGAATTCTACATGAACTCTTTAAGAAAACTGAAGAGGAGGAATGCTTTCCAACTCACTCTGTGAGACCAACATTACTATGATATACAAATCAGAAGACATTACAAGCCGCACCCCCCCAAAACTATGGAACAACCCTAAGGAATATTTATGCAAAAATTCAAAACAAAACGGTTAGCAATTCACATCCAATAACATATAAAAAGGATAATGTAGTATGACTAAGTGGGGTTTATCCTAAGAATACAAGGTTGGTTTAACCCTAGAAAATCAAAGTAATTCCACATATTAACAAAGTACAAAAGGAAAACCATATGATCAACTCAATAAATGCAGAAAAAGCATCTGATCATACCCAACAGGCATTCCTCAAAAAAAAAAAAAAATCTCAGCAAACTATGATTAGAAGAGAACTTCCTCAGCCTGAGAAAGGGTATCTATGAACGACGTACAGAGAATACCACACTTAATGGCTGAAGATTGGATGCTTCTCCCTCAGATCTGAAACAGGACAAGGATGTTCACTCTCACTGCTTGTATTCAGCATCATCCTGAAGGTTCTAGCTACTGAAATAACACAAGAACAAGGAACTTCACAAGCATCCAGTGTGGGTAAGTGGAACTGCAAGTGTACTTACAGATAATATCATTGTCTAAGGAGAAAATCCCATCAGATATACTAAGAAGCTACTGGAACTAACACATGAGTTTAGCGAAGTTGCAAAATAAAAAGATCAATATACAAATGAATTGTTTTTATATAGTAGCAACAGAAATTAAATGTAAAAACAAAACCCTTTTATAATAATATCAAAATCTAAAATACTTGGGATAAATCTGAAAAAGATGTGAAATACCTATGTTATCAGGAAGGGGTCTCAATCTAGACCCCAAAAGAGGGTTCTTGGATCTCACACAAGAAAGAATTTGAGGTGAGTCCATACAGTGAAGTGAAAGCAAGTTTATTAGGAAAGTAAAGAAACAGAAGAATGGCTACTCCATAGGCAGAGCAGTGACGTGGGCTGCTCGACTAACACTTATACTATATTTCTTGATTATATGCTAATGAAGGGGTGGATTATTCATGAGTTTTCCTGGAAAGGGGTAGGCAATTCCCAGAACTGAGGGTTCTTCCCCCTTTTAGACCATATAGGGGAACTTCCTAACATTGCCATGGCATTTGTAAGCTGTCATGGCACTGGTGGGAGTGTCGTGTCATATGCTAATGCATTATAATTACAGTATAATGAGCAGTGAGGATGACCAGAGGTCACTTTCTTTTTTCTTTCTTTAAGACGGAGTCTCACTCTGCTGCCCAGGCTGGAGTACAGTGGCGCAATCTCAGCTCACTACAACCTCTGCCTCCTGGGTTCAAGCAATTCTCCTGCCTCAGCCTCCTGAGTAGCTGGGATTACAGGCATGCACCACCATGCCCGGCTAATTTTTGTATTTTTAGTACAGATGGGGTTTTACCATGTTGGTCAGGCTGTTCTCGAACTCCTGATCTCATGATCTGCCTGCCTCAGCCTCCCAAAGTGCTGGGATTACAGGCATGAGCCACTGCGCCTGGCTGACCAGAGGTCATTTTCATGGCTGTCTTGGTTTTGGTGGGTTTGGGGCCAGCTTCTTTACTGCAACCTGTTTTATCAGCCAAGTCTTTGTGACTTGCATCTTGTGCGGACCTCCTATCTCATCTTGTGACTATGAACGCCTAACCTTCTGGGAAAGCAGTCCTGTAGGTCTCAGTCTTATTTCACCCAGTCCTTATTCAAAATGGAGTCACTCTGGTTCAAATGCCTCTGATACCCGCACATTGAAAATGAGAACACATTGCTGAGAGAAACTGTTCATAGATTAGAAGTTTCCATATCATTAAGATGTCAATTATCCCCAAAATGATCTATAGAGTCAGCATAATTCCAATTAAAATCCTAGCAGGCTGACAAAGATGCAAAAGGCTATTCAGTAAAAAAGAATGATCTTGATACTGGAGTAACTGGACGTTCATATGCAATAAAAAATGAAAAAGAGTCAATCCAGACCTTGCACCATATAAAAAAAAACTCAAAATGGATCATGAACACAAATGTAAAATTTAGAACTATAAAACTTCTAGAAGAAAAAAAATGGAGGCAGTCTTTGTGACCTTGGGTTAGGTAAAGATTTCTTAGATACGACAGCAAAAGCACACTCTATAAAATAAAAGACGGGTAAGTTAGACTTAATCAAAATTAAAAATGTCTGCTCTTCAAAAGACATTGTTAAGAGAATGAAAAAACATGTCATATATAAGGAGAGAACACCAGCAATGTACATATTTGATGAAGGATTTGCATCTGGAGTATACAAAGAACTCTCAAAACTCATTAAGGAAACATAGAACCCCATAAATAATTAGCAGAAGATGTGAACAGGCACTTCAGCGAAGACCAGCAAGTTGGCACAGGTACAGATGCTCAGTGTCATTCGTCATGAGGAAAATGCAAATTAAAACCACAATGAGACGCCATCAGTCACCTCTTAGAAGGACTGAAATTAAAAAGACTGATCATGTCAAGTACTGGTGACCGTGTGGAGAAACTACAAGTCTCCTATACTGCTGATAGGAATGGAAAATGGTGCAGGCACTTTGGAAAACAGCTTGGCAACTTCTTGTAAAGTTAAGCATGCACCGACCACACAATCAAGCAGTTCCACTCCGATTTAGCCAAGAGAAAAGAAATAAATGTCCGTGCAAAGCTTGCATGTGAATGTTCACTGTACACTTTATTTGCAACAGCCCCAAGCTGGAAGCCACCGGAATGCCCGTCAACATCTGGATGGATGAAGACACTGTGGTCTATCTGTATGACTGTAAAGGGATAAACTGTTGATACCACAGCAACATGGATAAATCTCAAACTAACTACGCTTAGTGGAAGAAGCCAGACGAGAAAGGCTAGATACTGCGTGATTCCACTTACAGAAACTCTAGAAAACATGGATGAACCCGTGGTGACAGGAAACACAGAAGGATCAGTGGCTGCTTGGGGTCGGGTTGCAGTGGGAGGGGCAAGGCAGGCTGCACAGGGCCTGGGATCTGGGGGCGAAGGGTCTGTTCACTGCCTTGACGGCCTCACGGGTGCGTGTATATAGACGATGACTCATCAATAACGCAGACTCAGCAAACAGGGAAGCCCTGGCAGGAGGAGGTGGTGGCATCGGGGCAGGTCCAGCTATCACAGGCCAGCCTGGTGAAACACGGCAGTGGGCTACTTCTCCAGACAAAACTGCTCCCTCTTGGGTGTCTAGAGGCGATTCCTGCGTAGCTCTGCCTGGACTGGGAAACATATTCCTAACCCCGTGCAGGGGCTGCAGTCCCTCTACCCGAAACCCACGCCAACACCCACTTCACATTTTGCATTTGAATCTCAGGAGGTTCACGGACCCTGTAACCCAGCGGCACCCGCAGCCCCTGGGATGGAAAAGCATCATAAAAGCAGACAGTGGCGCGTGTTGGGGAGGACGGGGAGAACCTGGGAGAAGAGGCAGCTCCTTACAAAGCTCAACGTTAAATTACCACGTGACCCCGGCACTTCCTCTTATGGGTGTACACCCGAGAGAAACAAAAATGCATTTCCACACACAAGCTTGTACACGAATGTTCACAGCGGCACTGTGTGTAATAGCCCTAAACGGAAGCAATTCAAATGTTCTATCAATGGATGAACGGATAAACAACATGGTCTATCCACACACTAGACTGTATGATTCATCAGTAACAAATGGAGCGTCAGCACGTGGTCCAATGTGAGCGAACCGTGAAAACCTTACGTTCAGTGAAAGACGCCAGACGCCAGAGACCACTCATCGCTGAGCCCATCTCCCTGCAACACTGCCGGTAGGGGAGTCTAGAGACAGAACACAGACAGTGGCTGCCGATGGCTGGGAGGGGATGGCTATGGGGCACGTTTCCTTCCAGGGTGATAAAGGCATTCATTCCAAGATAGACTGTGATGATGGCTGCACGCTCTGTAGATGACATCTCAATCAAGCTGCTTCATGAGAAAGGCCCAGCCACTGACCACGGGGTGAACGTCCTGCCGTCCACAGTCCCTGGCCGAGAAGAAAGTATGACTGACAGGTAAGACTACCTAAAGTCCCAGGCACACCCTGGGGCGGGGAGGAGGCTGGGGACAAGGACAGAGTGTGCAAAGACACGCCGGGCTCTGGGAGGTCAGCAGAGAGTCTGGACCCCAGATTTGAGGCAGCCAGGAACTGCCTGCCAGTCCCAGCTCATATGGCCTGAGCTTGGCCAACCGTGGCGGGTCCCACTCGCAGATGGCCAGCTGCCTCCGTGCCCTGGGGCAGGGATGTCCTGTTCCTGCTCTTTAGAGTGACAGGGAGGCCCTCCCTAACAGACTTCTCAGTCATTTAGGTTGGGGGCAAAAGGGGCTGGCCGCAGCTTCGTGTAGGTGGAGCAGGGCTTGGTGGGGGGGCAGGGCTAGGTGGGCTTGCCCGGGGTCGAGGTGGTGGTCACTGTCTAGTCCCCACCCAGGACAGACACTCGGGGTCCCAGGGAGGGCTCTGCCTCCTGCCTGGCAGGAAAGCGTCCTGCCCACCCGGTGCCATGGCCTGGGGAGTGCTTGGCTCTCAGGCCAGCTGCCCGCAGGAGAAGCTGGGACTGGGGCGGGGAACCAGCCTGTTCGCTTCCGAGTGGGGCTGACAAACCCCCAGCCTCTTCACAAAGCCTCCAAAAACGGAATGTCGTGGGGAACTGGACGCAGATCCACAGGGCCATAGAGAGCATTTCCGGCTTAGTCAAGGGAGTAACTTTTTAACAGTTTAAATGCGCGTGATGGGATGTGCAGGCTTGGGAGGCAGTGGACCAGATAAAACCATTGGCCAGAAGATACAGAAGGGCTCTAGGCCGCCCAGGCCCTTCAGTTAGAACATCCCCCACCCCTCCCCCCCGGCTCCCAGGGCAACGTCAGAGACCATCTGGATGGAGGATGGGGCTGGTCCTGGCTTCTCACAGTTTGGGAGGTGGGGCAGCTGGGCACCAGGTCAGCAAGCCACAGGTCCACCCACAGCCAAGGCCCAGGCTCCCCGCCTCCCCCCGTAACCACCTAGACACAGAGCACAGACCCTGCCTGGCCATCGGCCCTCCAATCCCTGCTGGAAGATGTGCCCAGGCGGAGCAGGACCCCCGCATTACTGCTGCGCGTCCAGCACCTGCAGCGGGGCCCAGCACGGTGGGCATTCCACATGGGCGAGGGCCAGACGAGTGAGCCACACCCCACCCTTTACTCAACCATCCCCCATGAGGACGACATCAGAGTCGTCCCCCAAGCCCAGGTCTGACACTCTCTTTCCCCAACTTTGGCCTGGAGCCCGAGGCCTACCCCTCTGCTCTCCCTGCACGCTGGGTGCCCTGGAGCCGGTGAGCATGAGCACGTGAGATCCTGAGGCCAGAAACATCTCCCCAACCCAGCCAGACAAACTCTAATTCACCTGTGAGCCCCAGCTCCAGGCCACCTCCTCCAGGCAGCCTTCCTTGACTGCAGTGCACCCTGGGGTATCTGGGAGACGCCTCTGCACAGTCTTTGAATCGGGCTGTACAAGTATCTGTCCTAGCGGCAGCAGAGCCGCGTCATAAACAGTAAAACAAGCCCGGCGCGGTGGCTCACACCTGTAATCCCAGCACTTTGGGAGGCCAAGGCAGATGGATCACCTGAGCTCAGGAGTTCGAGACCAGCCTGGCCAACATGGCAAAACCCCGTCTCTACTAAAAATACAAAAAAAGCCAGGCATGGTGTCGGGTGCCTGTAATCCCAGCTACTCGGGAGGCTGAGGCAGGAGAATCACTTGAGCCCGGGAGGCAGAGGTTGCAGTGAGCCAAGATCGCACCACTGCACTCCAGCCTGGGCAACAGAATGAGACTCCATCTGACAACAAAACAAAACAAAACAATAAAACAGCAACAGCAGCTCAGGGCTCCTGCAGTTCAAGGTTTTAGCGGCCTGGGCATGCGGTTTCTCTGCCTACTTGGACCTGAGCAGCCTCCCTCTGCCCAATGTCACTGCACACTCCCTGCATGCCCCAGCCCTGACTCGGGTGAGTGGACCATGCAGACGGCGAGAGGCCATGCAGGCCAAGCCAGGATAGAGCGAACCCTGGCGGGGCCAGGTGGTCCCCGTGTGTTTGCAGCCTGGATGTGATGCCCACATCTCTGGGCCAGGCACAGCTCTCCACTGTCGGCGGCTGGTGGGATTAGATGTGACCAAGGCCGCTCCCGGGCCGGCTCTACTCTGTGGGGGGCAGGTGCGGCTCTGGGGGTCCTGTTGGGCCTGAGCACGTCCCGATAACCTGGCTGCTGCCCACTGCCCAAGCGCCAGAGCACTCGGCCACCAATGAGAGCTGTGCTTCCCTGGTCCTGGGTTAAAAATATCCCCGTAAGTGACAAGACTTTGAGAATTTCGTCTCTCCAGTCACTCACATGGGGGGCGAGGACAGCTCTTGGCTCCGCGTCTCGCCCGGCTGCATCTGATGGCTCCCTGGGCTGAAGCTGCATCTCATGAAACAGACGAGAAGTCATTCACAGCCCGACAGCACAGGCACAGAAATTTGCTGTTTTATACCAAGTTGGGCGGCCTGTCATCTAGAAGCTTCTGTCCTGACCTCCTCAGCGAAGAGGAAGTCATGGAACCAGCTGCTGAGCCTCCTGACCTCGGCCTGGCCTCTCCTGGCAGCTGTGGGCCCCAGGATGAAAGCGGGCACCACGTCACTCACGAGACAGAAGCTGTCGTTCTCAGAGCCTCCCAGGTGAGTGGCCGGGCGCCTACCTGAAGCTGGACGAGCCCACAGTGGCTGAGGCCAGTGGGGACCCAAGGGGCCGGTCCGGCCTTCCCGGACCACCAAGGAAGGTGGGCGCTGCTTCCCTCGCAGTGCAGATGGTCTCGGCCGTCACTCTGCTGTCCCTCTCCTGGCTGTGAGCTCAGCTTCAGTGTCCCCACCTGTGAAATGGGGAGACCCCCAATCCTTCTGGGCGGGTGCCTTGCCTCTGCCCTCGCATGAGTCTCCCCTTTCTGAGCTGGGATTCCATCTCTCCTGGGAATCAGGTGCTGCCTGGCTGAGAACCCGGTAGCCAGGCACAATCACGCCGTCACCACCCCAGCCCTCAACCAGACCCTGCCTGCTCGCCGCGCTCGGCCGCCATCTTCCTGTGGACGCCACTTACCCTCCGGCGTCGCCATCGGCTGCAAATTGCCTTGTTTTTCATCTTTGGCAGGGCTCAAAATTTGATCATGAAAGGGAATTTTCTTTTTTCTTTCTTAATTAGTACTTGGTAATATCACCAAGCTGTGAGTTTATGGCTTTGTAGATCTTGTGTGTTTGACACTAATTACTCACAAAGGCTTTTAAAGCTGCATTTCAACTCTGCAACCACCATGCCAGTAATTAAGCTAGAGGAAGCGGCAACAGATTTCATTTTTCACAGACACCCTTCCCACCTGTGCTCCCGCTCCGTGTGGCCGCAGCCCCCGTGGCCCTGTGGAAACCCAGCAGCTCCTTGCGGCTCCGGCCCTGGAGGCCTGAGGTGGCCTTGCCTCCAGGAGCCCGGGCTCAGCCGTCACAGCCGGGCAGGTACAATCAGGACGAGCTCCCTGTGAGACTGGGGACCCAGGCCCAGTCCCAACCCAGGTGAAGGTCCCTTCCTTCTGCCCCAGAGACGACTAACGAGCAGCTCCCCTGGCTGCCCCAGAGCCCCCCACAGGGGCCGTGGCTTCTGACCCTTCAGACTCAGCTGTTCCCAGGGGCCCTGCTTCTGCCCCGCCCGCCCCCACGGCTGCACTCAAGCCTGCGCTGTGCACACCGAGGCCAGCTGAGTACCGGATAGGACCTGGGCTGAGGCTGCCCAGCTCACAGGGAAGCAGAAGCCGAGAGACCAAGAAGAAAACATCCCCCAACTGGCTGACAGTCGCCCTCCTCGACCCCAGATGCCACTAAGAACAACGCAAAGTTCTGGCGCGCAGGGAGGGAAGTCCGTGTTGACTTGGGGGCGGGTCTGCAGCAGGAAGGCTGGGCACACCCTCCACTGGCTGCTCACTAACTCCCCTGCTGGCAGAACCTTCCGCTGCACAAGCAGAGGAGAAAGGAAGGCGTGGAAGAGAGCAGGTGGCCCACGGGCTGGGAGGGGCAGGGAGAGGAAAGGCGGCAAGGTTCCCAGCAAAAGAGAAGACGCCACTCCGAGAACCCCGGGAGGTATAAGGGAACCCTGTTTAGTAACGCTGCATGTGCAACAGATAACACGTAGTTCACGTGCACAGATGTGTGCAAACATCTATGATGTAACCGAGCGGGGCTGTGCAGAGCAACTGTTACAGTCTGAACTGTGTCCCCCAAATTTAGATACTAACCTAATCCCCATGTGACTGTATTTGGAAATAGGACCTTTAAGGAGGGAAGTCAAGTCTGATGAAGGTCATAAGGGTGGGTCCTGATCCAGCAGGGGCACCAGAGCTCTCCAAGTGCACAGGAGAAAGGCCACACAGGAATACAAGGGGCGGCCGTCCACAAGCCGGGAGGAGAGTCCTCCCCAGGGGCCAACTCCGGTGACCCTTGATCTCAGATTTCAGCCTCCAGAACTGTGTGAGACACACATCTGCGGTCTCAGCCCCCGCTGTGGGGCTCTGTGACGGCAGCCCCAGCCAGACCAGCAGAGTGGTGGACACGGCCAGGTCTTATTTTGGTGAACTAGCCCCTTGGCTCCACAGATCTCTGTAACGTGCTTATGTGGGAGGATGGTAGGGGCACGGCAGCCCCACCTAGGAAGCAAGGTCTCCACAACCATGGGTCATGTTAAACCAGCTCCTTCTCTGGAGGCTAAGGGCCTCACGTGGTCAACTGCAGCCCAAGGTCCTGAGCCCCCTGTCTGGTCCAACACCAGGTGCTTTGTCTCTCTTCTCCTTCGCACAGGTGGTCACCCTGCTGGACGCTGCCCCTTTCCCCACTGTCCTCACCCACCGAGACCAGGTCCTACCACAATAAAAGGACTCTGGTTAGGGCTTTATGGAGTCACCAGCCTTTCAGAGACACATGCTACAATACTTGAATGATTGCAGCTAAATTGATTACGATACCTTGGATTTGCTTCAGAATAATCCAGGAAGGGGGAAGAGGGTGGGATGGGCTCACAGGGACTTCTCGATGCTGTTTTCCATATTTTTATATATATGCTTAAAACTTTCCATGGCAAAAAGTGAAAATAAACACAAACAGAAACCAAACCAAAAGCTAAAAGATGACAACTCATCCTAACCAGGCCAGGGTGACCTCCTCTCAAAACCCAGGCTCTGGAAGGACATCTCGCTCTTACCCCCAGAAGGTGACATCCTTGGCCCCAGAGCCCCTGCCAGGGCTGCCCGGTCTTTACCCCTCTGCCCAAGGCCACACGCACAGGATGTCAACAGTATTTGTAGAATTAGCGAGGCAGCATGGGAAGGTGCGGTTCCATCTCCAGGCCCCCCGCCCTGGTCCTCCTCCCACTGGGTCTTAACTCCCCGAGGGGCCACAACGCTTCAATGCGTGAGGTGCCGTGTGCCTCTCCACCCAGGAAAGTGTGCACAAGCACACTCCGTGCTGCCTATAATTCTGGGAACGACAGGGGTCTATGAAGCCCACCCAAGTTCCTGGAATACAGACCCCTGCCCTGAGCTCGCAGCGGAACCCCCATGCTGCTGCTCCTCCTCACATGTGGATCTGGGACGTCATGCTGGGCAACTGAGACCAGGTCTGCCTTCATGTTGTAAACAACTAGAAAAATGAACAAAATACACACAGTAACTGTTCACAGACACTGGGCTGTCTAAAGACAGAGAAACAAATGAAGTGAACCTCTGAACACCCCTTGCTCTACCCAGTGGTCTCTTCCAGGCTTGGCGCCGTGGGGTACAGCTCAAGCTCAGCATGATGGTCCTGCTGAGAGGAAGGGAGGATCTGTGGAGGGCGGAGCTGTGCACAGAAGGCTTCTGGCAACCTGGAGAAAGGTCTCGCTGAGCTGCTGAGTAATACACTCTACGCACACAGCATGCAACTCCACAAGGCTGAACCAAGCACATCGGGGAGCTGTCAGGGAACAACTCCAGAGGTCACGCAGGACCGGGGACAGGCACATGCCGACCAGCCAGAGCAAGTGTTCTTGCTGAGCACCCAGGTCATCTGCTAGGAACCTCAGAAGGGTCATGTCTTAGTAGCAGAGTTAAACTAGCCCTGGAATAAAAGCAAATCCATACAAGCCCCAAGAGAGTGTGAAAACAGTTCTTGAAAGGATCAAGCTGACCCCAAAATAACTTAACTGCTTGCCAGAAAAAGCCCAATACTCTTCAAAGAAAGAACAAGGAAATTTGCACCCTTTCATACACTTAACATAAAATTAACAATTACCATCATACAATCAAAAATTACTAAGCATGCAAAAAAAGGAAAATGTGTTCTATAGCTAGGAGAAAACTCAGCCAATAGAAATAAGTCCAGAAATGATGAAATCAGCAGACAAGGATTTTAAAACAGCAATTATAAATATGCTGCAGAATTTACAGGAAAACCTGAACACAGTGAAGGGGATGGCTGCTAGCTCCCAGGATGGCCCTGAGCGACCCTGCTTCCTGGCAGTCACACCCTGGTGCTGTCTCCTCCCACATCATACCAA
Organism: Homo sapiens; assembly: GCF_000001405.40. Classification (NCBI taxonomy): domain Eukaryota; kingdom Metazoa; phylum Chordata; class Mammalia; order Primates; family Hominidae; genus Homo; species Homo sapiens. The sequence continues at coordinate 76,822 of NT_187632.1, read as the reverse complement.
GGTTGGCCTACATGATCAATTGAAAACGGCAGAGCCAGGCATGGTGGTGTGCACCTGTAGTCCCAGCTACTCAGGAGGCTGAGACGGGAGGATCACGAGCCCAGGAGTTCAAAGTTGCAGTGAGCTATAACAGTGCTGCTGCACTCCAGCCTGGGTGACAGAGCAAGACTCTGTCTCAAAAAAAAAAAAAAAAAAAAAAAAAAAAGGCAGATGTGATAGTAGATCAACTCCAAGATTATGTTATAAAATACACTGTAGCTTCCATCTTGGGCTGGCTCTGTCTGTCTCTTCCTAACTCATTCAACACTCACTCTGCGTTGAACGCTGCCATGTTGTGAGGACACTCAAGCAGACCTATGGAGAGGTCCATATGGAGAGAAAGTGAAGTCTCCTGCCAAGGGCCACCTAAATGAATTTGGGCACATCATCTGGCCCCTGTCAAGCCTTCAGCTTTGCAACCCAGGACAAAAGCCCCTAACTGCACCCTCTGACGAGAATCTGGGCCAAAACCATCCAGCTAAACTGCTCTGGGTTCCTGAATTTCAAAAACTTCACGAGACAACAAATGCCTGCTGTTTTAGGTGCTAACTTCTGGAGAAAGTTGTTACGTAGCAACAGACTACAAAAATGAAGGAGAAACCAAAGATATGAAAAAAATAACCAAATAGACCTTTTAGGCATGAAAAACAAATGAAATTTTAAAACTCCACTGAATGAAATCAAGGGCAGGTTAGATACTCCAGGATAAAAGGTCAGTGAACTTAAAGACAGGAACAGAAACTATCCAAATTAAAGCACAGAAAAAAGATTGAGAACCAAAAAACAAAAAGTACAAAGCTTCAGTAATTAGGATAATATTAGTGACTTAAAATATGTAAAACTGGAGTACTGGAAAAAGGGGAGGGGAACAGAAAAAATACTTAAAGAAACAATGGCCAAAATTTCCCAAATCTGACTAACTATAAATCCATAAATCCAAGGAGCTCAATGAACCATAAGCAGGATAAATACAAAGAAAATCAGCTGGGGGTGGGGTGTATATTATATACAAAGTACAAAGATAAGACTACTAGCAGACTTCTTGTCAGAACCCATGCAAGCCAGAAAACAACAAAACAAACGTTCTTAAGATGCTTAAAAAAAATGACTGTCGACACAGAATTCTATATCCAGTGAAAATATCCTTTAAAGATGAAGATGAAATAAAGACATTTTGAGACAAAGAAAAGCCGAGAAAATTTGTTAGTGGCAGGACAACAATATAAGAAATGTTAAGGAAGTGCTTCCTGCAAAAGAAAAAAAAAAGCCAGATGGAAATCTGGATCAACACAAAGGAAGGAACACTACTGCCAGAAGCAGTAAATACGTGAATACAGTTCATGTATTTAAATACGTGAATACACTTCAACAAGCATTTTTGAATCATTTTAATTTAGAAGATAATGTACTCTCTAAAGTGAAAACATAATTTCACAAAAAAAATTTTGTGCAAAAATTACATAAAAAGAAAAAATGGAAAAATACTTTTAAAATGCTCTATGTTAACTAGTGTAAGATTATTTGAAAATAGACTGACATAGAGCTGGGGTCATCAAACTCCAGCCCATGGGCCAATTCTGGCCCACCGCCCGCTTTTGTAATAAAGTTTTACTGGCACACATCTGAGCTCATTATGTAACAGTTCCTTCTGTGCTACAACAGCAGAGGTGTGACACAGACAGTATGGCTCCCAAAGCCTAAAATATTTGATACCTGTTTCTTTACAGGAAAGGTTTACTGACCCTTGCCCTAGAGCAATAACTAAACCAAAACAGAAGAAAACCAAAGAGGTATAATTAATAAGCCAATGTTGGAGAAAACATGGAATACCAAAAAACAGCCCAAAAGAGGCAAGAAAAATGAAAAAAAGAATATACGAGACAAAAAGAAAACAAATGACAAGATGGCAGATTTAAACTCAATGTCATAAAAATTATATTAAATATAAATGGCATAGATTATCAGTCTGAATAAAAAAGCAAGATTCAATTAGATGTTATCTTCAAAAAATCCATTTAAAATATACAGACACAGGTAGATTAAAAGATTAGAAATATAGATACGTATATATAAATATTAAAATTGTAAGAAAGCAGGAGTGGCTATATTAATATTACTCAAGTCAGACTTCAGAACAAGAATATTTAAGAGATGAAGACAGACATTGCATAATTATAATTACAATTGCAAGTGATCAAGAAGATATAACAATCTTAACTGCATATGTACCCCAAAATAGGGATTAAAAATATAGGAAGCAAAACCTGACAGATCTGAAAGGAGAGAGATAAAAAAATTGATAAAACTTAGAGTGATGAAGAAAAAAGCGGGGAAGATGGGGCTGTCTTCCCCATCAAACCCTGCACCACAAGCGGCCCCAGGATCCAGCTCCTTAACAACAAACCCTGCACCACAAATGGCCCCAGGAACCAGCTCCTTAACAACTAAAAATACAAATATTAGCTGGGCATGGTGGTGGGCTCCTGTAATCCCAGCTACTTGAGGCAGGAGAATCACTTGAACCCAGGAGACGGAGGTTGCAGTGAGTTGAGATTGTGCCACTGCACTCCAGCCTGGGCGACAGAGCGAGACAACATCTCAAAAAAAAAAAAAAAAGAAAAAAAAAGCTGAATTCATAGAAGTAGAAGGTAGAAGAATGATGGTTACCAGAGCTGGCAAGGTGGTAGAACAAGGGAATGGAGACTTCGTCTTCAAAAGGTACAAAGTTTCAGCCAAGCAGGAGAAAAAAGTTTTGAGGTCTATTGCACAGCAGGAGACTGTAGTCAATAATAACGAATATTTCAAAATAAGAGGAAATTTGGTGTATCACCATAAAAGAATGCCAAATAAGTGAGGTAACAGGTATGTTCATTAGCTTGACTTAATCACTCCATATTGTATTGTTAAGTTAAATTTGGTCTAAAACTGCCTCCACGATTCATATTAGCGCCAAACTGAAAAGTCCAGCCACAGAAGAGTAGATGAGCAAATTATGGTACATTTGTACAAGGGAATACTATTCCGCAGTAGAAAACAATGCAGCAACACCAACGAATCTCAAAAACATTAGCTACAAAAGAGTACATACTGCATGACTCCCTCTATATGAAATTCTGGAAAAGGCAAAACTAGCCTACAGTGACAGAGGGCAGATCAGGGGTTTCCTGGGGGTGGGTGGGGGAACTGCCAGCAAAGGGCTACAGGGATTTAAGTTTATGGAGATGTTTTGTATCACGATTGTAGAAGTGGTCATGCGGGTGCACACATTTCTGAAAATTCATCCAGTTGGACACTTAAAATGGGCATATTTTCTTGAATGTAAATTTTTCTCCATAAAGTTGATTTTATTTATTTATTTATTTATTTTTGAGATGGAGTCTCACTCTGTCACCCAGGCTGGAGTGCAGTGGTGCAATCTCAGCTCACTGCAACCTCTGCCTCCTGGGTTCAAGTGATTCTCCTGCCTCAGCCTCCCAAGTAGCTGGGACTATAGGTGCCCGCCACCACGCCTGGCTGTTCTTGTATTTTTGGTAGAGACAGGGTTTCACCATGTTGGTCAGGCTGGTCTCGAACTCCTGACCTCAGGTGATCCGCCCACCTTGGCCTTCCAAAGTGCTGAGATTATAGGCATGAGCCACTGCACCCGGCCCAGGTTTTCCTTCTTAAATTTCACTTCACTGATACCTTTAGGGGAAAAAAATCCACACATCTTTTTCTTTCTTTCTTTCTTTTTTTTGGAAGTGGAAGGACTTAAAGATACAATATCATTGTGCTTTTCTGATAACTAGATAGTGGATGATAGTTAACATTTATTGAGTGTTTATCTGCAGGAATCTGTGCTAGGTGCTGCATAGACATTACCTCATTTATTCCTCACAATAACACTCAAGGTAGAACTTATTATCCCCAGTTTTACAGATGACAAGGTTTTGTGAGGTCCTAGGTCAAGGGAGTGATAGTGACTGACAAAGCCTTAACTGAAAGCAGGGCTGGGCTCAATCCTGGGCTTTCTGATTCCAGAGTGTGTGCTCCTCCTAACCTGTGTGCTAACAGGCCTTAGGGATGACTAATGGGCAGGCCTGAGAGCCCCGATGCCTGCTGCTGCCACCACCCCAGGTCTGATGGGAGGTGGGGGTTGGACGGGCTTTATGTTCTATTGCAGTACAGTTTTCACACCCTGGTCTTTTCCTTTGCTAGAAGCATTTGTCTAGCCAGGTGGAGGGTCATTACTTTAGAAAAAATAATCAGAGCTGAGAAAACATCTGCATTTGCAGAGAATGAAGTATTTAATAAGACCAGATGGGCCGGGTGCAGTGGCTCATGCCTGTAATCCCAACACTTTGGGAGGTTGAGGTGGGCAGATTGCTTGAGCCCAGTAGTTTGAGAGCAGCCTGGGCAACATAGCTAAACCCCATCTCTACAAAAAGTACAAAAATTAGCTGGGTGTGGTGGTGTGCACCTGTGGTCCCAGCCACTCTGGAGGCTGAGGTGGGAGGATTGCCTGAGCTCAGGAGGCCAAGGTTGCAGTGAGCTGAGATCACACCACTGCACTTCAGCACTCCAGCCTGGGTGACAGAGCAAGACTCTGTCTCAAAAAAAAAAAAAAAAAGACTAGATGGGGAGATGAGGGACAGAGAGAATCAAAGAGAATCAAAGTGGTTTGTGGACAGAGGAAATGAGTGATACTCTGACCCAGAGGCCATCTTTAGTGTCCAGGCCATTTGCTTGAGCTGCTGGTGAAACTGTGAAACTGGAGGCATGGCACTTGGGCTAAAGTCTGTGCGGTGAATAAGGCCCTCAGTTTCTGCTTTAGGTGGCAGAGTTGAAGGTAAATAAGGCCCTCAGTTTCTGCTTTAGGTGGCAGAGTTGAAGGTAAATAAGGCCCTCAGTTTCTGCTTTAGGTGGCAGAGTTGAAGGTAAATAAGGCCCTCAGTTTCTGCTTTAGGTGGCAGAGTTGAAGGTGAATAAGGCCCTCAGTTTCTGCTTTAGGTGGCAGAGCTGAAAATCTGATTCCTTTTTGGTCTTTAGCTTCCAGTGTACTTCAATGCAGTACATTGTGGGCGTGGTGGGGATGTGGTTCAGAAATTTACCTAAACTCTGTGGACTTCCCCCTCTCTCCAGCCACGCACTCTGTCATCTTTGGTTCCACTCTTCAGAATTCAGCTCGGATCCCCTGGAGTTGGGGGGGTGATGGGTGGTGTCAGATACCCAAGTGGTTGGGTTGCTCCGGTGGAGAGAACAGCATCCTGCCCCCATGGGCCTCAGTTGTTTTCTTGCGGGTGGCCTTTAGCCATCTCTAGCTATAAAGACACCAAGAAACTGGGAGGAATGACCAGGAAACTGTCACCCCAAACCCTGCAGTTGATTACTTTTGTTTTGTTTTGTTTTGTTTTGTGACAGCATCTCACTCTGCCACCTAGGCTGGAGTGCAGTGGCGTGATCATGGTTCACTGCAACCTTGACCGCCTGAGTAGCTGAGACTACAGGCGTGCACCACCAAGCCTGGCTAATTTTTTACATTTTTTGTAGAGATGGAGTTTTGCCACATTGCCTAGGCTGGTCTTGAGCTCCTGGGCTCAAACAATTTGCCCGCCTCAGCCTCTCAAACTGCTGAGATTACAGGTGTGAGCCACCATGCCTGGCCCCATTGACTTTTTCTCATTGGCGAGTTCAACAGAGGAGAGATGGTTGCCACAGTTTTAAAAAAGAGGCCAGGTGTGGTGGCTCACGCCTGTAATCCCAGCACTTTGAGAGGCTGAGGCGGGCAGATCACCTGAGGTCAGGAGTTCCAGACTAGCCTGGCCAACATGGTGAAACCCTGTCTCTACAGAAAAATACAAAAATTAGCCGGGTGTGGGTGTTGCACATCTGTAGTCCCAGCTACTCAGGAGGATGAGGTAGGTGGATCATTTGAGCCTGGGAGGCCAAGGCTGCAGTGAGTGGAGATTGCACCACTGCATTCCAGCCTTGGTAACAGAGCAAGACCTTACTGTCTCAACAAAAAAAAAAAGTAAAAGAAAAGGCTGGGTGTAATGGCTCATGTCTGTAATCCCAGCACTTTGAGAGGCTAAGGTAGGAGTATTGCTTGAGGCCAGGTGAGACCAGCCTGGGCAACATAGTGAGACCCTGTCTCTACAAAAATTTTAAAAATTAGCCGGGCATGGTGGTATACACTCATAGTCCCAGCTGCTCAGAAGGCTGAGGCGGGGGGATCACTTGAGGCCAGGAGTTTGAGGCTGCAGTGAGCTATAATCATGCCGCTGCATTCCAGCCTGGGTGACAGAGTGAGATCCTGTCTCTTAAAAGAAAAAAGAAAGGGAAGACAGAAATCAGATTAAAGAAGAGAGAAGAAGTGAGACTGTTGGCTTATAACTTGATGAAAGGTGGAAGCGGAAGGGCAAGAGCTTCTGCTAAGTAGTGAGGACCTTGGCAAGGACAACAGTATCTTTTTCGTGTTCTGTTAGGCCGTGTCTCTCTAGCGCCCAGCTCAGAGTGCACGTGTGTTATGTGTGAGGGAATCTAGTGAGGAGTCTTCCTGCATTAGGCACATCTGCAGGTGTCTGTTGAATTGTATATCTGCTGAATAATTTAGTCTGGTTAACTCTGGCAGGAGATTCGCTCTGGTTAACTCTGGCAGGAGAGGGATGGACAGCACAGCCACGTGGTTAACTAGTAGCTTTTATTGACTTTTCCTATTTAAAGGCGAAATGAAACCTTAGTCCCAGCCTTCTCCTCTCTCCTGCCCATTCTTCTTTATTTATTTATTTATTTATTTTTGGAGACAGTGTCTTGCTCTGTGGCCTCCCGGCTAGAGTGGCATGATCTCGGCTCACTGCAACCTTGACCTCCCGGGCCCAGGCCATCTCCCCAACCTCAGCCACCTGAGTAGCTGAGACTACAGGCCCACACCACCACACCTGACTAATTTTTAAATTTTGTGTAGAGACAAACTCTCTCTGTGTTGCCCAGTCTGGTCTTGAACTGCTGGGCTCAAGTGATTCTCCAGCCTTAGCCTCCCAAAGTGCTGGGATTACAGGCAGCCCACTGCACCCAGCCCCCTGTCTTTTTTCTGTTGCCAATTGAAGTCTGGAGGTGGCATGGGTCCTGGGAAGCCAGTGCCAGTGTTGGAAGCTTGGGAAGAGAGGAGGAGCAGCTTGGTCAGGGGGAAGATGCAGAGTGCTCACTCCTGGCACCTGCAGCTCCCGGGGGTATGGCAGCTACCCTTTAGCGTGGACTGTCCCCAGCCTACAGAAAGTCAGCTTACAAAGGTTCTAGCCATATTCCTCCCTGCCTCCACTGCCAAAGCTCCTTGTGGCTGAGAATTGTCGGGCTGTGGTGGGACAGGGACAGGTGGGAGAGCAGCACCTGGCGCTGATGAGCACAGCAGTGATGGCAGCAGCAGAGACGCTTAGAGACCGTTGGCCATGCCACGCTCTGTCCTGAGTGCCCACGTGTCTTAACGCGCTGAGTCCTCACCACAGCGGACAGACTGGGTGCTGTTATGATCCCTGCTTTTCACACTAGGAAGTGGGGCACAGAGGGCTAAAACAAGTGGTGGCGTCAGGATTTAGATGAAGGCATTGGGTTTTGGACTTGTGGTGTCACAGACCAGTTGAGGGCAACTGACTTGGGCATATTCCACGGGGTTACCTCCGTCCTGGGGGGTCACCGCTTCCTGTCTTCAGACCCCTCCTCCATATTTCCCTCTCTTCACTCTTGAGTTCTCTCTCTGAAGTGCCAGGAGAGGTGCATTGAGGTTAATTGGCGTATTCATTGAAATATTCCTGGCCTGTTTCTCAGGGGGCAGAGTCAGGAGGTAGTTCTAAAGCACTGGGAGGAGGGTGTGGGCGCAGGGGGGCTTCCCGGGGGGCACTTAAGACACTGTGTGTTCAGGAACCTGGGGGCTGTGCCTTGGGAATCCAGAGAGTGCTGAGGGCAGCCCTGTTCCTGGGAAAGGTGAGGAAGTCCTTCCCTTCCTTCTGATTCCCAAGTTGTGGAACCCAAGCAGATCCATTATTGCGCCAGCTAAACTCCTTTATGGGTGATTCTTTTAAGAGAATGAGCTGGGCCAGGGGTGGAGGAAGGCAAGTGGAGGGAGAGCATTAGGACAAATACCTAATGCATGTGGGGCTTCAAACCTAGATGACAGGTTGACAGGTGCAGCAAACCACCATGGCACACGTATACCTATGTAACAAACCTGCACGTTCTGCACATGTATCCTGGAACTTAAAGTAAAATTTTAAAAAAAGAGAACGAGCCATCTGGGAATCCTAATCGCTGTGTGTAATTGGCACATGAACTTATGGAACAGAACCTTTTTCCCAGTTTGGCCATGACTAGTCAGTCATCCATTTCCCTGAGAAAAAGGAAAAAGGAAATATTTTAACTAGTGACATGGGCTTGGGTCAGTTTCTTTCCAAAACAGATAGGCTTTCTCAAAACCACCCTTGCCAGGGGTAGGAAAAACAAATAAACTTTCTGCTTTTGGTATTCTAAGTTCCTTTAGACAGTGGGGCCTGTGGAAAATTATATAAGCAAGTCATAACAGCGATCACTTCCCCTTACTGTGGCCAGACTGCGCACACATCATTTCTAGTCTTCAGGTAGGGTCCTTTCACCCCATTTTACAGCAGGGAAGTTGTTCCAGTGAGGTAAAGGGCCATAAACCCAATAATTTGCATAGCTAATGACTCCAAATCCCATGAGATTACATGTTCAGGGAGCAAAAGGAAGAGGAGTGGGGCAGAAAAAGACAGTATGAGGCAGGGAAGAAATTCACAGGTGGCAGCTTGAATGGGCCCTCCAGGTGTAGTGAGCACCGTGCTAGGCCCTAGCGTAGTAGGGTGGGGACACAAACAAGCCCCTGAGCCTCAACCACCCTCAGGGAGCAGGGGGGATTCCTACTTCAGGAATCCTTTACACACTGACTTTTTTCAGCACATTTATTGAGCACCTGTTGTATATCAGTGCCACGCGGTAAGACAGCCTGCGTCTGCAAGAGGTTGATATTTCTAAGAGGTTGGATGCATTGTCAGCCATGCAAGTGCAGTAACCTGGATTTAACTGGCCAGGAAGCCCTGGACATTGAGTGCTAAGCAAATTTATGCTAACTAGTAAAATATTCTTCTTGATTTGGTTTTGTTTATTTCTTGCACCTAAGACTGAGAATTTCTAGAACTTACCTACCCGCTGTGTCTGCTGTTTGTGGAATGTTTGTGTTTTGCAAACAGGATCATTTTGCAACTCCTTCCTGAGGACCAGCCCTGCACTTTGGCTGCAGGAAAGGCTGGGACCATTTCCCTTGCCTGCAGGCTGCCCTTGGGCCCGTCACCACTTTGGACCTGGTGCTCTCAATGTGCTTGTCCTTGCCCAGCTACTCATCGAGAGATACAGCTGCCCCCGGTGGACTGGGCAGCCCTTCCTAGAGGAGGGTTTTGCAGTCTGTGCCCTTTCCTAGGTGCTCTAGCAACGGTGGATGGGAGCAGTCCTGTGCATGGAGGCGCCTCATCCATGATTTGGGCATTAGATTGTCCATGCTGCTTCTGGGGCTCCTTTCTAACCGTAGGACCACGGTGCTGTGTCTACCACGGCCTCGGAGCTGGTTGGAGCCTTGTAATAATGTCATCAGCCAGCACGGTAGCAAGCCCCCCATTCCTCCATCTTCCTGAAGTATTTCTTTGTCATGTGCTGTATTTGGAAGCTGATGTATTGTGGGAAAAGGCCTAATAGGACTTCTTACTACTGGATATGATGAGTGAGATACCGTTTTGCTTGGGTTTTAACCTTTTATTTTCTAAGACCTTTGGATCCGTTTGATCAGGTCCATTCAAATAGAAATTACTTACATCTTCTAGAAATGAGTTAAACACCTGGCTTCTGCTCCCTGCTATATTAATGGAGCTGACTTGCTAACTTGAAGAACACTTTTTTTTTTTTTTTTTTTGAGACGGTGTCTCGCTCTGTCGCCCAGGCTGGAGTCCAGTGGCTAGATCTCGGCTCACTGCAACCTCCACCTGCCAGGTTCAAGCAATTCTTCTGCCTCAGCCTCCCAAGTACCTGGGACTACAGGCACGCACCACCATGCCCGGCTAATTTTTTGTATTTTCAGTAGAGACGGGGTTTCACTGTGTTGGCCAGGCTGGCCTCGAACTCCTGACCTTGTGATCTGCCCACCTCAACCTCCCAAAGTGCTGGGATTACAGGTGTGAGCCACTGCACCTGGCCCCGAAGGACACTTTTACATGCTGCTAGTGACAGGTTCCCTCTGTGCATGACCACCAGCCCAGGGGAAGGGTTCATGGCTTAAAGGTATCTCTTACCCTTCAAGCAAACTTGATGTATGGAAATGTGGATTTACCTTCAAGATAAACTAGTGTGTATCTGTACTTCTTGGCTTGAAATTAAATTCTTCACAGTAAAGGAATTTTGCAACAGAATTCCTTCTATAGGAATTTAAACAGTTACCTTGCTATAGACAACATTTTAGGCAGTCTGATATCCCACCATTGGTGGGAATGACTGCCTGTCACATTAACCTGCCTGCCCCTCTTTGTCCCCCTACAGCACTTATACTCATGCGGGCTCAGAGGCACAGGTGCTCCTGGCTCTGCCTACAGCCTCCTAGGCCTGTCATCTGGGCCTGTTGGTGCAGTACATGGATCTAGGTGCTGTCACGGACTGTCAGTTGTGGCGTGTCCTGGCAGGGCCTGGCTGGCCCGACCTCTGCTCATGCAGTATTCATCTGCACACCAGGAGCCGTCTGGGCCATCTCTGGTGTGCTGCCCCACTCAGTTCTGTGTGCAGTTGCTTTCCTTTCTTGCTTGTCTCCAGGCCATTTTTGTAAGTTTTTATGAGGTCCAAATGCTTAGGCATAGGCAGTAGGCAGGAAAATCCAGCAGGGCATGTAGATCATTCCTAGTAGTAAAAGAGGTCAAGGGGTTTGGCTAAAAACCTCACTTATATTGGGATATGGGAAAAGTGGGAGGGAACTGATTTCTCAGGAGTCCGCTTCATAATATGTGTCATGGCATGATTGCCTTCAATCCTCATGACAGTCTTAGAAAGTTACCCATATGAGGCCCACTTGAAAGATGAGGCGCAGTGAGGTTAGATGACTTGCCTGAGATCTCTCACCTGGTAAATGGCGGAGCTAAATCAGAGTAAGACACTCAAACTGCGTTGTGGTTAAGAGCTTGGACTCTGGAACCAGACTGTGCTGTACTATACCGGTTACTAGAGTGTGTGACCGGGAGTGTGTTCCTTATCCCCCCCGAGACTCAGTTTCCTCATCTGTGCAATGAAGGGCGTAACAGTCCTCCTAACCTTGTATGGTCGTAAGCATTTAGAATCTTCCCAGGCATGTGGTAAGCACCCAGTGAGCACCCCACACATCAGCTGGTACTGTCACTGACTAGTGCTCATGAAACTTGGAATGGAATTCTGAGGCTTGGGGCTTCCTGTCATCCAGAGACAGTCTTCAGGGGAGGATGCTGGGTCCAGACTGTCCAGTGAGTCAGCACAGGTTTCTTTGCAGTGTTTGGATGGGTGAGAATGAACAGTACCACCTCCAAGGGGGAGTTCTTTCCTATCTTGCTGGTCCCCTCCTCAACCCACTTGCTCCCGCTCTCTAACTGCCTTTGTCATCAGTATGAAAACATCTGCAAAAGCCTGCTCTCTAGCTCACTCCTGATCCCCTGGGGCTTTGCATTTTTTTTTATTAGCAATTCTTTAAACCTAAATAACCTGAAATAACTTATTTATTAAAGTTGTATCCTTTGGTCCCTTCCTCCACGTGTTGTGTTGTCCTGGGTTTTAGGGCAGGGGCGGCTTCATGGAAGTATACTACGACCGTGTCTCTGCTCATGACAAACCTGCCTCAGGAGAGCCAGGGTAATATACACAACAGTTACGGGGAAGAAAAGGGATGAAACACCCAGATGGCATAGACAGTGTGATTGGGGAAAACAAGTGTGCTGTTCTTAAAAATCTATTATATGCCAAGTGTCGGTTCAGAAGCTTTATATGCGTTGTCAGCCCTGCAAGTTAGGGGATACTGAGTCATTCCCTCTTTACGATGAGAACCCAGAGACAGAAGCATCTTGTGCAAGGGCACTCGGCACATGGGTGAGAGGAGCTGGGGGTTTGAACCTGCGACCCTATTGACTTCTGTGGGCCTAGGGAGGAAATGCAATTTGAACTGTGCCCAGGCCATGGTCGGATTGTCTTAAGTGAGATGTGGGGGTGCTGGGGTGAGCGCAGGCTCAGAGTTGAGCGTGAGCAGCATGTATTCAGGGGCAGCAAGGAGGCCAGCCTGGCCAGGCTGGGGTTGCGTTCAGTGTTGATGAGCTGTTGTACTGGGTTCTGTATGGGTGATGGGAGATAAGTAAGATGTGTTCCTTGCCCTCTGGGATCTTGCTGCAGCTGGCGAGACAGACGCACAAATAGATGATTTCAGTGCTGTGTGGTAAGAGCTGTGATGAGGGTAAGTATAGGGAGCTGTGGGAGCAGAGCAGAGGGAGCCGGGAGCATTCCCAGAGCCTTGCCCTGACTGCAAGGGCAAGGTAAGCAGCGGCAGGCTTAGCGGTGGAAGGCAGGAAGGGCTTCCTGACAGGCAGAGAACAGCATGAGCAAAGGCATGTCCTTGAGGGCTTTTCTTGTTTATTCTCCTGGTCGAATGGATGTCAGGGTACAGTGTGGGCTTTATGGGCATCAGGGAACCTGTCGGGGGTTTGAACACAGAGGGACGGTGGAAGTCGAGTTTTAGGTCAGTTAATCTTGTGGAGGTGGGAGAACTGAGTCAAGCAAGATCAGCTGGGGAGGAGTCAGCAAACTTTTTTCTGTAAAAGGCCAGAAGGTAAATGTTTTAGATTCTGCGGAGCTGTTTGGACTCCGTGGCTGCCCCCCTATGCCTGGCCAATTTTTCTTTTATTTTTAGTAGAGATGGGGTCTCTCTGTGTTGCCCAGGCTGGCCTCGAACTCCTAGTCTCAATGATTCTCCTGCCTCAGCCTCCCAAAGCATTGAAATTACAGATGTGAGCCACCACGCCCAGTTGAAAATGGTTCTTCCAGGATGGATTTTTTTGTATGCTTATTCTGGAAAATAAAATGGAATTAAATTGGTGTAATCTACTTTGGAAATAAATGGGAGGAAAGAGGTGTCCTACCATTTCTGATGTAGGACAAAAAGGCATTTTCTTTTGGCTACTTTGAAGACTGAAACTAGAAATAGGGAAGTGTCTGATGCATATTTCTTAATTCCTTATGAGTAGCCTGCATAGTTCAAGGGGAACTATGGGAAAGAAATCTGGGCATTCTGCGTGTGATGAGACAGGAGTAGAGGGATGCATTTTTCTCTGTGTGAAGTGGGTGACTCACTGCGTTTAGCTAAATTCTCTGTGACTTAAGTAAATGCTCAGTCTTTGCCTTAAGCCTACTTAGATGGGATTGGGACCCTGTACTGTTCGGTCATTACTTACCTTTTTTTTTTCTTTTTTCTTTTTCTTTTCTTTCTTTCTTTTTTTTTTTTTTTGAGACAGAGTCTCGCTCTGTTGCCCAGGTTTGAGTGCAGTGGCACCATCTTGTCTCACTGCAACCTCTGCCTCCCAGGTTCAAGCAATTCTCTTGCCTTAGCCTCCCCAGTAGCTGGGACTACAGGCGTGTGCCACCATGTCTGGCTAATTTTTGTATTTTTAGTAGAGACAGAATTTCACCATCTTGGCCAGGCTGGTCTTGAACTCCTGACCTCAGGTGATCTGCCTACCTTGGCCTCTCAAAGTGCTGGGATTACAGGCATGAGCCACCACGCCCAGCCCGGTCTTTACTCACCTCTTGAGAGTCATTCTTGAGGCTGGGCACGGTGCTCACGCCTGTAATCCCAGCACTTTGAGAGGCCGAGGTGGGTGGTTTTGCCATTTGTCAAGTAGGGTGGAATTGGCTGCCTGCCAGTTTAAAGGGTCCTACTGGGAATAAAATTTGAATATAGAATTGGGCAGGCATGCTTTGAAAATACAGAATACAAGTGCCCTTTACTTACTGCTGCTTCCCCGCCCCAGGCAGAGGCTACTGCTCACCACTAGTGTAGGAGGACCAGTGACAGAGGTGTCAGAAGCTTCCCTGGCAGGACCTGCTCATCCTCCTGGACCTTGTAGTTTTGTGGAATCCACAAGGCAAGGCAGACAGATCCAGCAAACATCAGCTTGAAAGTACCAGGGACAAGCAGAGGGAGTAGAGGTCATGGGCTCTGTTCTCTAAGTTCACTGTTCACTTTGGAAGTCAAGGTGAGTACTGAAAGAGCAGCACGGCCCACCAGGGAGGCAGGGAATTGGGCACGCAGCACGCTCGGGCATTCTGCTGCACAAAAGGCAGGGGCTGTCCCCTCCCTGGCCGGACCTTCCTCCCATGCTCCAGGCACACCCTGCCTCAGGACTGTGGGACAGACTCCCCCTCCCTGAAACACTCTTTCCTGCAATATTGCATGCAGACTCCCTCAACCCTTGCATTGCATGCCTTTGCTCAGATGTCAGCTCCTCTGGGAATCCTCATGCCTCCCAGTTTAAAATGTCAGTGTGTCTCCTTCCCTCCGTGCTCCGGATTCCCTTTACTCTGCTTTACTCTCCATTTTTCCGGGGCACTCACCCTCTAGCATGCTGTGTTGCTCACTCATGCTTACTGAGAGGTGGAGGGCCTGGGCTCTGGAGCCAGGCTGCCTGGGGTTGAGTTGTGGCTTCACCACTTGCTACTCGTGTGGCTTTGGGTGGATTGTTTAACCCCTTTGCCTTGGTTTCCTTATTTATATGAACAATACCTAACTCAGAATTTTCATGAGGATCAAATGAATTTGTATTTATAAAATGCGTAGCATAACACCTGCCATGGAGTCAGTGCTATGTTATGTAAGTGTTTAATAAATACAGCTTCTGTTGTCCGTCTTCTTCCACAAAAATGGAAGCTTCATGAAGTCAGAAACCCTGTTTGTTTTGTTCTCTGATGGATTCCTAAGCGTTTTGAGCAGGACCTGGGGCAAAGCAGGCCATCTTTGCTCACCAAGTGAGTGACTGGGTTGGAGGAGGGTGTGGTCTGGGACGGTGTCAGGGAGTAGTGAGGTGTGGGTCAGTGCTGTGGACGGGTCTTCTCTGGGTCAGCTGGCTGAAGAGGCCGAAGCTGCTGTGTGCCAGTGTGTTTGCATACAGTCCGGGGGAGTGGGAGGGATGGTGCTGGGCTGGGGCGGAGGGGCTGGCTGCATTTGGAGAGTGCTGGGCCGAGTCCTACTGCAAGAGGAGAGAGAGGGTCTGGCTGTCAAGAGCAGTAAGATGCCTACAGGGCCCCGTATTTCCAAGCGCTCTTCCGTCCACCTCCTATCCTGGCCTGACCCCGCTTCACTTGGGAGAGCAGAGGATACCTTGTGCGTTCAGTGGGGAGGGCACGTCCACAGAGGCCTTGGCGAGGCTGCCTGCGTTGGGGAGGAACCTGGGCCCAGGTGCTCCAGGCTGTGGCTGGAGCAGGTGGAGCACAGCCAGCCGGGCTACACAGACCAGTCCCTGCCCACGGGCCTTCCCCCTCCCACCTACGGGCCACCCGTCTGCCGCCTTGCATCTTGCACCCTCCTGCCATGGACAGTGAGCCAGCCTGGCAGTGCCCTGCTGTGCTAACCAGGACCAGGAGGCCCGGGCCATCCTCCCTGACCACCTCACGGGGTCAGAGGACTGCACAAGAAATGGGTGCAGAGGCCGGCGCGGTGGCTTCGCCTGTGGTCCCAGCTACGAGAACAAGAGATCCACCTCAGGTGGTGTTCTCGGCCCGGGGCGACGGAGGGCGTCCAGCACCCATAGCGGGTGTCAGCCTTGGAGTTCCCAGCGGCCACCGCCAGGCACGGTGCAACCCAGCAGGAGAAGGGGTACTTGGGACATTTTTACATGCAGTCCCTGCGACTTCCGTTCCTCACCAGGGACGGCTGCCAGGAAGGGGACCGACTCCCCTCGGGACTCCCGGTCTGTACCAGCAGGGCCCAAGCTCCAGAGGGGTGGGGACCTTTCCCAGGGGCGCGGAGGCCGGGGTGCCCCTCCAGGACCTCCTTGGGCTGCGCCAGCAGCTCCAGGGCTCCGAGCGGTGGTAGATCTGGAAAACAGACCACAAAAGGCGTTGCAGAAACATGGATGTGACACTTTTAATTCCATTTAATTCCTCCACTCCAAAGAATGCAGGTCTTTCTAAATCATAAAACAAAGCCCAGAAGCCATCAAAGAAATAGCCTGACCACATAAAGTTCAAACAATTTATCTTTGCCTACTGCATGACCGAGTCGAATGACAACAAACAGGTGTGGGGGCGCATTTGTGCAAATATATTTGTGATGAGAATATCGTTCTCAGGCAAGTGTGGTGGCTCCCACCTGTAACCCTAGTGCTTTAGGAGGAGGCAGAAGGATCGCTTGAGGCCAGGAGTTTTAGGCAACATACTGAGACTCCATCTCCACAAAAACACACACACAAAACAACAAAATGGATGTTGCATTACTTACTATAATAACAAAAAAGGAAGAAGAAACCATAGGCATTGAGAGGGGCCTAGTTCAATAAGTCCCAGTGCATCCAAACAATGAAATACCATGAATTTGTGGGTTTTTTAAAATAAGGTAAATGTTGATGACAAACTGTTCAATGAAATGCACTTCACCTCGCTCATACAAACATTAACTGAAAATGGGTCACTTGCATGTTAAACATAAAACTATAAAACTTTAGGGGAGAAATTCCAAGAGAAAAAATGGAGCCCTACAACTAGGTAGAGATTTGAGACTTGACACCAAAAGCATGACCCATACAAATATGGATACATCAGAATTCATCAACATTTAAAACCTAGGCTCCATGAAACACTTAGCTTAAGAGGATGAAATGAAAAAGTACAGACCAGGAGAAAAGACAGGCATTCCTGGGAGATATTGCGGGTTCAGTTCCAGACTCCCACAATCAAAGCAAATATGGAAGTAAACTCAGTTACACAATGTTTTTGTTTCCCAGTGCATATACATGTTATGTTTACACTACAGTGTAATCTATTAAGTGTGCAATAGCATTATGTCTAAAAACCATGCACATTCCTTAATTTAAAAATACTCTCTTGGGCGGGGTGTTGTGGCTCATGCCTGTAATGCCAGCACTTAGGGAGGCCAGGGCAGGTGGATGTCTTGAGCTCAGGAGTTCGAGACCCGCCTTGGCAATGTGGTCCACAAAAAGAAATAAAATTAGCTGGGTGTGGTGGTACATGTCCATAGACCCAGCTACTAGGGAAGATAAGATGGGAGGATCGCTTGAGCCTGAGACGTCGACGCTGCAGTGAACCATGTTTGTGCCGCTGCACTCCAGCTTGAGTGACAGCACAAGATCCTGTCTCAAAAAAAGAAAAAAAAAAAAAAAACAAGAATATTGGTTTGCTTAATGACTTGTGATACAGAAAAAACTTTGCTAAAAAATGCTAAGGATTATCTGAGCCTTTAGAGACCCCTACATAATCTTTTTGATCTTTTTGCTGGTGGAGTCATGCCGTGAAGCTGATTGGCTGCTGGCTGATGAGGATGGCGGTTGCTGAAGGGTTGTTGTGGGGGGGGTTGCTGTGGCAGTTTCTCAAAATAAGACAATAATGAAGTTTGCCACATCGATTGACTCTCACAAAAGATTGATCTGTAGCTTTGTAATGCTGTTTGATAGCATTTTACCTACAGGAGAACTCCTTTCAAAATTGAAGTCAGTACTCTCAGATCCTGGTGCGGCTTTATTAACTAAGTGTATGCACTATTCTAAATCCTCTGTTGTCATTTCAACAATGTTCACAGCATCTTCCCCAGGAGTAGATTCTATCTCAGGAAACCACTTTCTTTGCTCACCCCTAAGAAGCAACTCCTCATCTGTTCAAGTTTGATCATGAAATCACAGCAATTCAATTCCATCTCCAGGCTCCACTTCTAATTCTAATTCTCTTGCTATTTCCCCCACATCTGCAGTGACTTTCTCCACTAAGTCCCGAACCCCTCAAAGTCATCCATGAGGGTTGGAATCCACTTCTTCCAAATGCCTGTTAATGTGGCTAGTTTGACCTCATCCTATTTGATCACAGATGTTCTTAATGGCATCTAGAATGGTGAATCATTTTGAGAAGGTTTTCAATTTACTTTGCCCAGATCCATCAGAGGAATCACCATGTATTGCAGCTACAGCATTATGAAATGTATTTTTTAAATAACAAGGCTTGAAAGTCTTTGTTCCACAGGCTGCAGAATGGATGTTGTGTTAGCAGGTATGAAAACAACACTTGTCTCCTTGTACATCTCCAGCAGAGCTCTTGGGTGACCAGGTGCATTGTCAGTGAGCAGTAATCTTTTGAAAGGTATCCTTTTCTCTGAGCAGTGGGTCTCAGAGAGGGCTTACAGTAAACCATGCTGTAAACAGATATGCTGTCATCCAGGCTTTGTTGATTATTTATAGAGCACAGGCAGAGTGGATCTGGCACAATTCTTAAGGGCCCTAGAGTTTTGGGAATGATGGATAAGAATTGGCTTCCATTTAAAGTTACCAGCTGCATTCACCCCTAACAAGAGAATCAGCCTGTCCTTTGAAGCTTTGAAGCCAGGCATTGACTTTCCTTCTCTAGCTAGGAAAGTCCTAGATTGCATCTTCCTCCAATAAAAGGCTGTTTTGTCTACATTGAAAATCTGTTGTTCAGTGTCACCACCTTCATCAGTGAACTCAGCTAGATCTTTTGGGTAATTACTGCAGCTTCTACCTCAGCACTTGCTGCTTCATCTTGCATTTTTCTGTTAGGGAGATGGCTTCCTTCCTTCATCTCATGAGCCAACCTCCTCTGCTAGCTTCAAACAGTTCTGTAGCTTCCTCACCTCTCTCAGCCTTCATAGAATTGAAGATAGTTAATGCTTTGTTCTGGATTAGGCTTTGTCTTCAGGGAATGTTGTGGCTGGTTTGATCTTCTAACCAGACCACTAAAACAAAACTTTTTGCATATCAGAAATAAGCTGTTTCACTTTGTTACCATTTGTGTGTTCACTGGAGTAGGACTTTTCATTTCCTTCAAGAACTTTTCCTTTGCATTCATGACTTGGCTAGCTGTTTAGTGCAAAAGGCCTAGATTTTGGCCTATCTAAGCTTTCAACATACCTTGCTGGCTAAGCTTAATTATTTCTAGTTTTGGATTTGAAGTGAGGGATGCACAACTCTTCCTTTCACTTGAACACTTAGAGGCCACTGTAGGGTTATTGATTGGCCTGGTTTCAATATTGTGTGTCAGAGAATAGGGAGGCCCAAGGAGAGAGAGAGACCTGAGGGAACAGCTGGTTGGTGGAGCTTTCAGAGCACACACAATATTTATCAATTAGTTCACAGTCTTATATGAGTGCAGTTCATGGTGCCCCAGAACAATGACAATGACAATAGTGACGTCAAAGATCACAGATTATCACAATACATATCATAATAATGAAAAAGTTTGAAATGTTGTGAGAATTACCAAAATTTTGACACAGAGACCCAAAGTGAGCACATGCTGTTGGGATGATGGCTCCTGTAGGTTTCCTTGATGCAGGATTGCCACGACCTTCAATTTGTACAGCAAAGTACAATAAAGCAAAGCATAATAAGATGAAGTCTGCTTGCATTTGCAAATTTCAGGTCCAACCAAGTGCTAGTATCCAGAATGTGCCAAGAACTCTCAAAATGCAACAGCATTTTTTGAAAACCCAAATACAAAATAGACAAAAGACACTAATAGGCATTTCACCAAGAGTATATACAGATGTCAAGTAAGCACATGAAAAGATGTTCGCCATTTCCTGGCAAGGTATTGTTATGAACCGAATGTATATATCCCCCAGATTCATGCGTAGAAGCCCTAACCCCGTGTGGCTGAATTTGGAGTAAGAAATAAGGTTGAATGAGGTCATAAATTGGGATCCTGATAAGACAGGATTTGTGTCCTTGTTAGAGGAGACCCCAGGGAGTTGGCTCCCATTCTCTCCACCTACACACACCAAGGAAAGTCCACATGAGGACAGAGTGACAGGGGCCATCTATAAACCAGGAAGGGCCCTTGCCAGGAACTGATGCTGCCACACCTTGATCTGGGACTTCCAACCTGTAGAATGGTGAGAAAACGGTTTAAGGTGCTGAAGTCGCCCAGCCTGTGGTATTTTGTTACGGCAGCCGAAGCAGACTAATACACATGAAGATCATGGTGAGGCAGCATGACACATCCATCAACATGCCTTAAATACAGTGTAGAAACAGCACCACAAGCTGGTGAGGATGGGGAGAAACTGGGCAACTCACACATTGCTGGGTAAATGTAACGTGGTACAGCCACCCTGGAAAAGAGTGTGGCAATTCCCCCTCCCAATACAGCAAATACCACCACCAACAGCAAAACATGCCACTACGGAACAACCTGGCAACTCAGTCCCTGGGCATTTGCCCCAGAGAAATAAACATGTACGGTGTGGCAGAGAATTAATGCAGTTGGTCTGGGATGCTCAGAACCTGCTCATTCCAAGAGAATGTCTGGCCTTGCCTGGCTCCAGGGAGGAAGCCCAGAAACCACTGAAATACTCGCCTGATAAGAGTGTCTTTTCGTAGCTGGGGCTGTGGGCAGTTTATGCTGACGGCCTGATCTATGGTGGGGCCCTGGGCCAGGTGGTGTCCTTCAGGGAGTTGGGCTTCATGAAGTTCTTCGAGTCCTTTTAGGGAGTCGTCCAACTCAAGGATGTCTGGAGGACCTCACCCGACAACACTTATGTTCACACAAAATTCTGGACACGAGTGACCTTAGCAGGCTTGTTCCTCAAAGCCAAAACCTAAGAACAGCTCCTCAGAGGCCTTTCAAGGGCCAAGAGGTTAAGGGCTGGGAGTGGGTGTGGAAATAAAGAGGAGCGTTTGGAGATCCATATTAGAGGAGGAATGAACAGGACTGGGCCACAGGTTGTTTAGGACATAGGGACATACAGGATGAGGAAACTTTCCCAGAGTCCTAGACTAATACACAAATTAACATACACGGGCACAGGCCGGGGGCAGTGGCTCATGCCTGTAATCCCAGCACTTTGGGAGGCCAAGCTGGGAGGATTGCTTGAGCCCAGGAGGTTGAAGCTGCAGTGAGCTATGATCATGCCACTGTACTCCAGCCTGGGTGACAGAGGGAGACCCTGTCTCTAAAGGAATTTAAAAAAAAACACTGGTGCAATTTATTGACAGTCTGGGTCACAGCCAAATAGAAGAAGAAGAAGATTTGGGGGTTGGATTGTTTTTAATATGTAATGTCTGTGAAACAACCAAGCCAGAAAATCAACAGAGCAATTCTATATCTATGTAATTCTGAATGAAGATAAAACCTTGGGCTTATAAGCATGGAGATAATAATTAATGCCTTGGAAATGGATTGCATCACCCAGAGGTTATGTTTTTAAGTGTAGAGATAGAATAATAAGGCCATAACTGAACTGTGTTGCACTGGAGATTGTAAACTGAGGCAGAGGAGTCTCTGCTGGCAAAAGCTGCTGGGGAGGAGCATCCAGAGAGGGAGGAGCACGTTCTGATGTCAGGATCCAGAGAGGAGAGGGTCCTCAGAATCGCAGGTGAGCCCCTCACCCGGACTGCTGCCAGGATGTCCAGGAAGATGGGCAGTGGAAAGTGGCCATTAGGTTTTTCCCACAACAGTTCATCAGTGGCGAGAGAGAGAGGAGTTCTGGGACGATCTGGTGGGAGAGCAAAGAGTGTAGGAGAAATGAAGAGGGAACCTCCAGTGACCACGGTGAAAGGTGCTGTATGTTGACTTCACGGAAATTTAACTCTGAAGGGGCCCAGACACACTGGGCTCTTGAATAAGGTTGGCCAAGTGATGTTAAGGTTTTTTTTTTTTTTTGGCAGAATTTTGCTCTGTCACCCAGGCTGTAGTGCTGTAGCTTGATCATAGCTCATTGCAGCCTCAACCTCTCAGACTCAAGTGATCCTTCTACCTCAGCCATCACCGCTGTCTAGCTCTGGAATCCTTTTCATCTTGTGAAACAGAAACTTTGTGCCTACTGAACAGTATTCCCCATTCCCATCTCACCCCAGGCCCTGGCAACCACCATTCTACTTTCTGTCAATGATTGAGACTCCTCAGCGTATCTCATTTGAGTGGAATCATACTGTGGCTTTCACTCAGCATAATGTCCTTAAGGTTCGTCCATGTAGCAGCATGTGTTAGAATTTCCTGCCTTTCTAAGGCTGAATAACAGTCCATTGTATACATAGACCACATTTTGTGTATCCTTTCATCTGTGGATGAACACTTGGCTTGTTTCCATATTTTAGCTATTGTGAGTAATGCTGCTATGAAGATGGATGTACAGATATCTCTTTGAGAACCTGCTTTCAATTCTTTTGGGTATGTGAAAGGAAAATAAATCTAAGGACCCAAAAATCACTAAGCCAAAGGAAAAGTCAAGCTGGGAACTATGTCAGGCAAACCTGCCTCCCATTTTATTCCTAAATAAGATAGCTACAAAGATTAAAAACAGCGGCTGGGCGTGGTGGCTCACGCCTATAATCCCAGCACTTTGGGAGGCTGGGGTGGGCAGATCGCCTGAGGTCAGGAGTTCAAGACCAGCGTGGCTAACATGATGAAACCTCGTCTCTACTAAAAATACAAAATTAGCCGGGCATGATGGCATGCACCTGTCATTCCAGCTACTCGGGAGACTGAGGCAGGAGAATCACTTGAACCTGGGAGGCGGAGGTTGCAGTGAGCTGAGATCGCGCCATTGCACTCCAACCTGGGCAAAAAGAGTGAAACTCCATCTCAAACAAAACAAAACAGCTACATACCTCCCTCACAATTTGCCTACAAGGGAATTCCTCGTGGGCCTCAAGATCTTTACCCTAAAACAGTTCTGTTGAATTTCACCCTGGCAATATAAACTGATAGATGATCTTCAAATATGTAGGACAGAAAGTCATCCCTCTGCTCACCTGAGACAGATGCATATTGGATTGCTTCCTCTCTCTGCCTATTGTTTATGCAAAAATGCAAATTCACTGAGCCAGACCAAATTGTGTATTCAGTAAAAGGTTGATAAAAGACTCAGAAGAATACAACCGTTTGTCTCTTATCTACCTATGACCTGGAAGACCCTGCCTCTTCAAGTTGTTCCACCTTTCCAGACTGAACCAATGTACATCTTACACATATTGATTGATGTCTCATGTCTCCCTAAAATGTATAAAAGCGAGCTGAGCCCCAACCACCTTGGGCACATGTCATCAGGACCACCTGAAGCTGTGTCACAGGTGTGTCCTTAAACTTGGCAAAATGAACTTTCTATTAATAAACTGAGACCTGTCTCAGATATTTTGGGTTCACAGGTATATACCCAGAAGTGGAGTTGCTGAAGCATACAGCAATTCAATTTTTAATATTGTGAGGAACCATCATACTGTTTTCCACAGCTGCTGTACCATCATACAGCCCCACCAACAATGAAGAAGGGTTCTGACTTCTCCACATCCTCACCAACGCTTGTAATTTCTGTTGTTTTTTTTTAATGGTATTCATCCTAATGGGTGTGGGGTGGTGTCTCATTGCAGTTTTGCTTTGCATTTCCCTAATGATTCATGATGTTGAGCATCCTTTCAAGTGCTTGCTGGCCATTTGTATACCTTTAGAAAAATGTCTAGTTAAGTCCTTTGCTCTTTTTTTTTTTTTTTTTGGAGGGGGTGGACAGAGTCTCACTGTGTCACCCAGGCTGGAGGGCAGTGCTGTGATCTCGGCTCACTTCAGCCTCCGCCTCCTGGGTTCAAGTGATTCTCGTGCCTCAGCCTTCCGAGTAGCTGGGACTACAGTCATGCACCACCATGCCATGCTAATTTTTGTGTTTTTTGTAGAGACGGGGTTTTGCCATGGTGGCCAGGCTGGTCTTGAACTCCTGACCTCAAGTGACCCACCCTCCTCGGCCTCCCAAAGTACTGGGATTATAGATGTGAGCCACAGTGCCTGGCTGCTTTGCTCATTTTTTAAATTGGGTTGGTGGTTTTTTTGTTGTTGAGTTTTAGTAGTTCTCTATATATCCTGTTTATTAATCCTTTATCAGGTATATGATTTTAAAATATTTTCTTCCATTCTGTGTGTGGTCTTTTTACTCTGTTGATAGTGTATTTTGATGCACATAAAAATTTAATTTTCATGAAGTCTAATTTGTCTTTTTATTTTGCTATTAGTGCTTTTGGTGTCATATGCAAGAAATCATTGCCAAATCCAGTGTCATGAAGCTTTTCCTCTATGTTTTCCTCTAGGAGTTTTATTGTTTTAGTCTTACATTTATGTCTTTGTTCCATTTTGAGTTAATTTTTATATATGCTATTAGGTAAAGATCCAGCTTCATTCTTTTGTGTGTGGATGTTCAGTTTTCCCAGCACCAGTTGTCGAAAAGATTGTTCTTTCACCATTAAATGGTCTTGGCACCCTCATCAGAAATCATTTGACTATACATCTGGGCTCTCTATTCTATCAGTCTGTATGTCTATCTTTATGTCAGTACCACACTGTTTAGATTACTGTAGCTTTGTAGTAAGTTTTGAAATCAGAAAATGTGACTTATCCAGCTCTGTTCTTCTTTTTCAAGATTGCTTTAGCTATTCGGGGCCCTTTGATATTTCATATGAATTTAGGATAGGTTTTTCTATTTCTGCAAAAAAGTAATGGTATTTTGGTAGAGATTGCATTACATTTATAGATTGTTTTGGGTATTATTGATATCTTAACAATATAAAGTCTTCCAATCCATGAGCATGGAATATGTTTCCATTTATTTATGTCTAATTTTTCTCACTAATGTTTTGTACTTTTCATTGTACAAGTCTTTCACCTCCTTAGTTAATTCCTACTTTTTTTTTTTTTTTTTGAGATGGAGTTTCACTCTTGTTGCCCAGGCTGGACGGTCCCATGTTTGGAACAGAGTGGGGCCGGGGGCCATTCCAGAAGAGTACCCAGGAGAGAATGGGCTCTGAGCCGGCTGCCCAGCCCCCTCCTGCTGTATGCGGCTCTGTGGAGAGCGCATGGCCTGTTTGAGGGCTTCTCCCCTCCCCTCTCTGCTGCCTGGTCCGCTGGAGCTCTCCCTTCGCCACCATGGGGCTCAGTTAAAGAAAACACTGATCCGAGCAGATGAGGGGAGGAACAGCCCTGCTGGGGACAGAGGTGGGCGTGGGGGCATGTTGTCTCCCCTGATGTGCAGGCGGTGGCTGGGGGAGTGTCGGGCGGGGGGAGTGTGGATGAAAGCCCAGACTCCAGCCTGTGGGTCCCATCTCTAGACTTCCCGACTCCCAGGTTCCCCAAAAGGTCTGTAGTGTCCCGGGCACCCAGGCCCCGATCTCAGATGGAGGGGGCACAGTGTCTCCCACAAGCGGCTCAGCCCAGCCTCAGGGCTCCTCACGCACACCCAGGGCCTCTGGAGTGGGCAACTCCTGCATCCTCTGCTTCCCTCAGCTCAAAACCAGGGCAAGTTCGAAATGCGTGCTCGCCCTTCTTGACCCCTGCTCAGCCGAGCCCCAGGTTGGGGGTGGGTATTGGAGGTGAGGCAGCCTCTGGCCTCATTGGAGGGGGTTGGTGGGCTGAGCAAACTGGCAGAGGATGTGCCCTACAGGGTGGGTGTGAGGTGGGGAGCAACTGAGGCAGATGCCTGTGTGGCCCTGCTGACCTAGCCCAGGCAGGGTGTGACAGGTCTGTCCAGCCCTGAGGGCACAGCTGTCTCCAGTCTCCAGCTCATTCCTGATCCCCAGGGTCACGTGTCCAGAAAACCTGGGCACTCAGATCAGCTGGGCACAGATGGCCTGTCCTGCCTCTGCACCCCCATAACTCCCTGTCAGCGCTGGCCCACACCTAATCAGCCAGCCAGTACCGAGGAGTGGGCCCAGCTTCCAGCGGGGAGGGCGCTGGCCAAGGTGCTGACCAAGCTGGCAGACACAGGAAACCAGCCTGTCCCTCTGCGGGCCTCTGCCTTGCTCCCACTGCACAGACCTGTGGGGAAGTGGAGGCCCAGGCCCCAACCCAGAGCAACTGGGGACAGCTGGGCTTGGTGGCTGGAGAGGGTTCTGATACCAGAAGTCTCCAGGGCAGCCCTGGCTCCCCATTTCCTCCCATGCCCATCCCATGCCCCAGAATGGTCACTTCGGCTGCTCCAGGAGGGGTGGGAGGGGCATTAAACCTATGAGAGAGGGGGTGGGGTCACAATCTTCAGCTGTAGTGGGCCGCTCTGGGTCACTGATAATGGAAGTGACGCCTGCACAGTAAGCACAGAAGTGTCTCAAGGCCTCTCTGCAAGCACAGAGCAGCCCAAGACTGGAGCCTGGTCCACCCCAGTGCTGTCCTCAGACTGATGGCCAGTGCCACATGACTCATCTAGGGTCTGATACATCCCTGTGGCAAGAGCTCAGTTCCTAGTCTGAAGGCTGCTGTGTGCAGGGACCCTGGAGGAAGAATGCTTGTTTGGGGGTCAGGCCTCAGCCTCCCACTGGCTATGTGAGCTTCGCCTGAGGTTCTCCATCTGTGCAATGGATGACGACGTCTTGATGTGGCTCTGGGAGGACCCGTTGAGCCACCGCAAGGGCTGAGATGGTGGCACTTGGCAGCCAGTACCCCCTGGGGAGGTGGCAGTGTGTGCACAGCCCACCCCTTCAGGAGGCCAGGGGGCAGAGTGGCTGGGGGGTGTCTGGGCCCCACCTCACCTTCTGTGCGACTGGGAATGGCATGCACTCCACAATGCCCTGGTAAGCCTAGGCTGGGACAAGGGTGATAGGGATAAAGCAGGCCAAGGTGATGAGGGCTACAGAGTGGCAACCAGAGGTGTGTGGACAGTGCAGCCTCCACACCAGGCAGAGGGCCCGGCCCATCCAGTATGTCTCCGTCCCGCGAAACTGCCTGCCACTGGGCTGAGATGGGAGCACCAGGGCTCTGGTAGGTCCTCACTTCCTCTGGACAAAGCAGGCAGGCCACCAGCCTTGCACCCTGCTCATGTCCCTCAGGGCCACCTCCATGGCCAGGGGCAGGCAGAGAGCACAGGGCTGCCCAGTCACCAGGTCTCTCTGCTTCATGTCAGTGGACCTGGGCTCTAAGGAGGGCCATCAAGGCCTCAGGCTGGCCCACTCCATCCCTGAGTCAGGGTCCTACAGACTGACACCAGGTGGGCCTGCAAGACCCTCATCTGCATGGTCCTCTCATGCAGGGTGGGCCTGGGGAGGACCCAGCCCGGCTGAGCTGACTCCCAGCACTTCTCCAGGTGCAGGGGCAGCCTGGCAGTTGTCTCAAGACCCCGGGATACACTTAGGAGCACATCAGTGAGGCCCGGTGGGTGCCCCGAGCAGAAAGCAGAGAAGGGACACCTGCACCCCTGTGTGCAGGGGTGTCACTGGGTTCTTTGGCCCCATGCCCGTCCCCCCTCCCCCCTGCCCCATGAGAGCTGGCTTGGTAGAGTGGGGGATACTAAGGAGGTGGCCTCCGAGAGCGTCTTCTGGGTTTGGAGTCCCCATTCCGCAGGCGGGAAGAGGTGGGAGACCCCTGAAGGGTTACGGGTAACATCAGGCCTGGATCCCGTCCCTAGGGTGGTGCAGAGAGGGCCACAAAGGCCCAGGAGGGCCCCCAGAACTCTCTTAAGCCTAAGAAACAGTGCAGAGCCTGTTTCTTACTGAAAAATGGGGGCGACCGTGCTCCAGCAAGGGCTTCTGTGCAGGGGGCCGGCGGGGAGGGGTTCATGGGTTTCGTGAGGCCAGGAAGGGAGTGGGTAGGCAGAGGCCATGCCCAGGCCTCCGGACAAAGCCCTTGCCCGCTTGGGGAGCGGGCCAGCTTAGGCCGCCACACTCTCAGGCCTGGGGCCTGGCCCACTGCGGCCCGGGCCGCCATCCCCTCGGCCTCCTGCAGGGGCCGCCGCCTCTTTAGGAATACACCACCTTTGTCTGGGCCCGCGCGGCGCGGGTGCACTGCGCTGGCTGAGCGCCTCCTGCTGCCTGGCCTGCAGCGCGCCCCGGCCCGCTGCGCCGCCCAAGAACCCCCCTCCGCCCCCCTCGCGCCCGCGCTCCCGCCGGCCCGTGCTCCCCAGCCCCAGCCCGGGCCCGCGCCCGCGCCGGCGCCCAGGTGAGCGCCCCGCCCACCGCGAGGCCCAGCCCGGGTCCGCCCCCGGCCCGCCCTGGCCGGCCCAGGGGAACTGGGCGGATTCCTCGAGTGTCAAACCACCTGATTCCATAAGACATTCATCCTCCCGGAGGCCCGCGCCGCCCTCGCCCTGCACGCCTAGCGTTGTCCCGCGGCCAGGCCCGGCCGGAGCGGCGGCGCCTGGATGTGGACCTGGCTGCGGGGAGACGGGCGCCGGCCCCAAAGCGACTTTCGGTCCTCGACGCGCCCCGCCCCACCCCTGCGATGAAGAGGGCGTCTGCTGGAGGTGAGTGTCTGCGGTGCGGGCCTAAGCTGGCAGTCAGGCCCTTGGATGGGGAAACAGGCAAGTTAGGGGGGGCCTAAAAGAGGTGGATGGGGTAGGTGGAGCCGTAGACAGATTCTGGGGAGAGGACTAGCTTCCAGGTCGAATCCCTAGCGAAGCCTTGCCCATCATCCAAGCCCCACACACCACTGACCCCGCCCCCTCCCAGTCCAAGGGCAGCCTGGACCCGCTAGATAAGCCGCTGGACTTGGGGCCGGCGCTGCCCCCCCAAGATGGAGGCTGGCACGTTCAGCAGTGACCTGCAGACCCCACGCCCAGGCAGTGTTGGTGAGGTCGGGGCAGCCACACCTGGGGAGGGACATGGGTTGACCCCCATCTGACCTCAGTCTGACAGTGGTCTACATCCCCAGAGAGTGCCCTGTCGGTGCAGAGGACCAGCCTCCGCCACCCCCCGACGCCTGCCATGTACAAGTTTAGGCCGGCTCACGGGTCCTAAGGCACCTTCTGTGGATGAGGCGAGCAGGTAAAGAGGCGTGGCCTGCCCCCCACTCCTCCCCCGCCTTGCCCCCTGCCCCCTGCACGCCCAAGCCCTGTCCCCCCAGGCCTGCCTCCAGGAGCTCTCCCCACAGCTTTCACCCCGTGAAGGGCCCCCCCTGAGCCCTGCCTCTCCAGCAGAGGCCACATCCCCTGAGGCCACACCCCTCAGGGCTCTGCCTGGGTCACCAAGGGCCTTGTGTGACTGGTAGGACCCTGCCTGTGTGCACCCAGAGCTGGGACCCACGGAGAGGAGCAGGGTGTCCTGGAAGGGGCTGGCACGGGACGTCCAGGCTTGGCATCTGTCCCTTGGCCAGCGTTGTCCTAGGCCAGGTGGGCGGCTGGCTCCAGGAGCACTGGGTACCAGGATGCGTGGAATTCCACCATTAGTCACTCTGTAAGGCCTATGGGAAGACTTTGGAAGAATTTGAGACCTGCTGGAGAAAGCACATTTTTCTTCCCTGAGTTGCATGAGTGCTCTGTGGTCACTGGAATGGTGAGCAGCGCAGGGCGGTCTTTGCAGTGATCAGGAATGCTGAACAGCCCCAGGGCGCCGTCCCTCCTTCTGGGCCACCCGGAGAGGCAGGCCTGTGGCTGGGCCCGTGCACCCAGACCAGCCCCATCCCTGGGGACCTCTCCCCTCAGGATTGATGTCCTTCCTGGAGAGAGTCACATGGTGGAGCAGTGAGTCTAGGCTCCTTGTCAAGGGTCTGAGTCTGCAGGCATGCAGGGGCCATGCCTCTCAGGAGGCGGTAGCCCTGCTTGGAGATGAGGGCTCCGGGTATGTCATCTTCCTGGGACTCCTGGGTCCAGTGGGGGATTGGGTCTGGTTGGCCAAGTGCATTGAGCCTACATTGGCCCTGATCGCCTTCTGGCTTTGTGGTTCCTGAGGCTCTTGTCCCTAGCCCAAGCCCAAGCCCATGCCCACGTGCCCATCAAAGAGGCTAGACGAGGCCCCTCCTCCCTGTGGTTGCCCTGAGTGGTAGGCCCCTGGGACTGCGTAGCTCAAAAGGCTGAGCCCTGGGTGTCTGCAGTAGCCAGCTGTGGCCTCCCTCCCGCTGCAGAGCCCCTGCCCCTCAGCCATGGATGCTCAGGGACAGGGCCATGGGTCACTATGTGGCTCTTAACGGCTCCTTGAGGCCCAGTTCCTGAGGCCGCGGTGCCAGGTGTGGACCCCGTGGGTGCTGACTGGCAGCTGCAGGCAGGGTAGCAGGTGGGCAGTGGTGAGAATGCCTTCTCCCTACAGGTTCCAGGCCCCGATTCCCTTATCCTGGGGGACGACAGCATCCATAGCCTGGACTTTGTGTCGAGCCGAGCCTGGACTTCCCTGACTATGGGCCCGGGGGCCTGCACGCAGCCTACCTGCCATCCCCACCGCTCAGCGCCTCTGATGCCTTCTCATTGCTTTGTGCTCCCTGAGCCTCAAGGCCTCAAGCCGGCAGGGCGGGGACTACGTGGCCCTGCAGCCCCTGTGCTCCGAGGGTGGGCCTCCCATGCCCCACCGTAGCATCTTTGCCCCCCCATGCACTGCCCAACCACAATCGCAGCCTGTCCTACAATAATGTGCTCAACCCTGGCTCGCCTGGTGGCCACGCCTGCCTCGCCCATCCAGCAGTTGGCGTGGCCGGATACCACTCACCCTACCTGCACCCTGGGGCAACGGGCGACCCACCATGGCCCCTGCCCCACAGCTTCAGTCCCGTGCTGGGCCCCCGGCCCCAGGAGCCCTCGCCTGTGCTCTACGACATCCTGTCCAGGACCATCATGGCATCCATCCAGGAGCGCAAGGACAGGGAGGAGCGTGAGTGCCTGCTGCGCTCCCAGGCCGACTCACTCTTCGGCGACTCAGGCGTCTATGATGCTCCCAGCTCCTACAGCCTGCAGCAGGCCAGTGTGCTGTCTGAGGGCTTCCGAGGTCCTACGCTGTGCTACAGCTCTACAGATGACCTTGTGGCCAGGCCCGGCTTCGGCGGCGCCTGCAACCCTGTCCTGCAGACATCATTGTCCTCGCTTTCCAGCTCCGTGAGCCGTGCACTGCGGACGTCGTCCTCCTCCCTGCAGGCTGATCAGGTCAGCAGCAACGCCCCGGGGCCCCGGCCCAGTAGTGGCTCACACAGGTCGCCCGCACGCCAGGGCCTGCCCTCCCCGCCCGGCACTCCCCACTCACCATCCTACACAGGCCCCAAAGGTGTCACCTTCATCCAAATGGACCTCCTAGAGCCACCGCCCTCGCTGACCGTGCAGAGGTGGGTGCTGGGAGGTGCGGGTGGGCTTCCTGGCACAGGGCAGCTGTCCAGCCGTCTGCAGGGCCCCTCTTGGCTGGGCACTCATAGGTCATCCCAGGGGCCTGAGTTTTTCTCTGGGGACGGGACAGGGAGGATGCGCCTCACCCTGCATTGAAGGCTTTGGCTAGCCCGTGTGGCCCAGCTCTGAGGATGTCCTGGGCATGCTCTGGGGACAGGGTATGAGAATTTGTGTCCTGATCCCAATGACTTGTTCTTCCAGAGCTGGCACAGACCCAGCACGTAGGAGGCCATGGGGCTTTCTCTTTGGGGTCAGTATCATGTGGCAGCCTGGGCCTCCTTTAGGCTGTGGCTCTGGCATCCTGGGTCACAGTGGCCCTGTCTACCCGGTGCTCTCCCTGGGCCTGCTTTGCTGCATCTCTAGGAGGCTGGGGCTGAGGACATTACCTCGCAGCAGAATGTGCCTCCCTGGGTGGCCGGGCCCTGGCCCTCCCTGTGGGACATAGTTCTGGGAAGCAGGGGCTTCCCTGCTCGTAGTGGGGAAACTGAGGACTGGAGAAAGCAGGCTGGCTCCAGGCACCCAGCAGGTTGGTAACTGAGAGAGCGGGGTCAGCTGGCTTGTAGGCCCAGGCCCAGGTAGGAGAGCTGCACACCTGCTGGGGCCAGGACCCACGCCACGGACGCATGGTGTCCTCACGGCATCTGTCGTCTGTCACCCCGTCTGGGCCTGGAAACCTCAAGCACAGGCTCAGCTGTTTCCTGTCGTCAGATGCGGCCCCAGGGGGAGAGCCCAGCCCCGCCCAGCCCAGCCCAGGCCACTTGGCCACAAAGGGGCTGAGGGCACAGCAGTCCAGCCCTGAGGAGGCCTCCCCTACCCCACAGGGTAGGAGTCTGTTCAGCTTTTGTGGAGTTGGGGAGGAGGCTGCCACTGGGAGTGATGAGTGGGGAGCCCGAGACCTAGAAGTGGGCAGCATTGCAGCCAGGCAGGGATCGCAGCCCGGGGACAAAGGGCTCTCACCTTGAGAAGGTTTAAGCAGCAAGGATAGAGCTGCTGTTGGTCAGCGCTGGTGGGCAGGAGGGCAGCCCCTCGTTTTCCTGAGAGAGAGCAGGAATGAGGCCAGGCAGAGTGGCCGGGCTCCCAGTGCAGAGCAGGGCAGGGGCTCCATTCAGTGCCCACCTGACTGCCCCATGCTCTCTGTGGCCAGTGCTGCCTAGGGACCCAGGGACTTGGGAGGGTGGTGGCAGTTCTGACAACATCTGTCCTGTGATGGCACAGCCGCTCCCCAGGCAGGCTCTGCATCTCCCTCCTACTTTCTGGGTGAACCCTCCGAGCCTAGAGGGCAGGGACTGCCCAGGGCCCCACGACATGGCTACACCAGTCCACGTCTGTGTCGTCTCTGTCCTGTTGCCTCCTCCGTCCTCTGTCCCCGTGTTCGTGTGTTCACCGTGTGCATGCGTGTATGTGCTTGTTTTGATGCAGGGACCACCCTCAGCTGAAGACTCCCCCAGGTAAGCTTAATGGGCAGTCTCTGGGCCTGGCCCGGCTGGGACCTGCCACAGGCCCCCCAGGGCCCTCTGCCAGATCTATGTGGCACACGCTGGTTAAGAAGGTGTCTGGCGTGGGTGGGACCATGTACGAGATCCTGGTGTGAGGACTGACCACCACCCATCCGCCGTGGTGCCACGGGGACCAGGACCCCGCAGCACACCCCCGTTCCCCATCAACTTCTCTGCCCCAGGGACCCAAGGCCACCCCAGCCTGGTGTGGACCCATCGGCGGGAGAGAGTGCCACGCCTCCACAGCTTGCCGCAAGCGCTCTGCCTGCCTGTCCACTCATCTGCCCGTCCACTCATCTGCCCATGGGGAAGTTGGCTCACTGGGCCAAGGGCCACTGGGCTGGTCTGTGTCTGGGCCCATCCCATGGCTGGGGCAGTGAGGGGGCCCAGTCAGTCTCTTTGGGGCACGCTCTCTCAGCCAGGCTTGGCTCACTCCCATCACCCATGCACCCCAGGTCATTGCCAGGCCAGCCCCCAACGGTCCCCTTACGGATGGGTCCCAGAGATCGACAGAGGCACCCAGGGCCCCCGCCGTCCTTCCGACACAGCCTGTGGGTTCCCAGACCGAGTGTCCCCAGCCAGGCTACTCCTAACACGTTGCCTTTCATGGACCCCGCTGGAAGCTCGTAGCTTGGCAAGGCCAATGATGCTTCTGCTCTGATCTGCTCTGGGTAGTGGTGGATGGGTGGACAGATGGCCAGCCATGTGTCAGTGTTCCGGCCGCCGCCGTCCCTTTCACCAAAGCCTGAACCTTTTTTTATGCTCTTATGGGAGGCAACGGGGCAGGCGGGAGCAGGCACGGGGGTGATGCTGCCACGGGGCCTGTGACACCCAGAGCCTCCTCCCCAGCCCTCAGGCCCTCCCTGCCAAACTGGAGAACCCTGCCCCAAGGCATGCCACGTCCCCAGCCCCGGCCTGGCTGCGGTGCTCACGCCGTGGCAAAGCACACTGGGGAGGGGTCAGTGCTTCCCTTGGTGTCAGGGACCTGAGAGTAAGCACACAACAGCGTCCGCTTGCGTTGTTTCTGTTTTATGTTTTTATATCTACATCTATATATCTATAATTTTATTTTAAAAAAGTTATTTTGATTCTTTCCTCAGGCAAGGCCAGGGCTGTTGCTGCAGAACCCCCAGAGTTAGGGGAGGGCAGGGGCCAGGCCTCAGAAGAGGGGGTGGCTGCTGTCTGGTGTGCAGGGATCGGTGGGTTCCTTGGGGGCATTTCTGTGGACTTGGGCTGAGTCAGAGGCTTGGGAGGAGGGGGTGGCCGATGGTCTGTGGCTGGGAAGTGTGAGGGTCTCTCGCCTTGGGTCTGCATCAGTTCTGGCAGTGACAGGGTGTTTGGGGGAAAGACTTGGGTCTGCCACTACCCACAGGGGAATCCCAGGAACCCAAGAGCTTGGGGAGATGAAATAGGGGTGCATAGGGGCCACCTGCTGGCACAGGGCCCTGTAGGGGCTGCTGAACCTGCTGGAACTCTCCTGCCTGCCAAATGCCAGGGGCAGCGCTGAGGGAGTGTGAGGGGTGCACAGCTGTTCGGGGCTGAGACATCCTGGGCTGAGGCTATCTCAGTGCGGGAAGGGTGTGAGCTCTAGGGCCCTGAAGCTGGTGCCGTGTTGACCAACTTTCTGCTTCTCTCTCACGGATGCCACAGCCCACAGGGGGTGGATTGGCACCTGCACCTGTGGATGGGGGCAGTGTGGCCAGCCTTGGGTGCCTCCTGGGCTGCTCCTGTGCCACCTTGGCCACCCAGAGGACCACCCACCACTGCGGGCCCCCTGGAGCCTGGTCGCCAGGGCACCCCCATGCGGGGCCATGTGCTGCCTGCCCTTGGCTGCCTCCAGTCTTTTCCCCAGCCTTTCCGGGCCCTAGCAGGATGACAAGTAGGCGGGTCTGGGACAGCCCAGCTGGGGACCCAGGAGGTCAGACTGCCATGGACCCTGGGGCAGGGCTGGGGGTGGGCTGGGCTCTCTTCACCAGCCACAGCTTGACAGACTCCCAGCCTGCCAGCGCCTGAGACCCTGTGTCCACGTGACCTCAAGGAGTCCCCCACCTGCTGCAGGGGGTCCAGCACCCCACAGGGGGCAGCCCCAGAGCTGTGGGGACCAGCACAACCTTTGCCCGGCCTCCCTGCCCAACCAACCTCTTTAGACTAAGCCACTTCCTCCTCTGGGAGCCCAGGCCTCCGTGGAGTGGGCTGGGTGGGGGGGTCTCAGGTTGCCCCCAAAGGTTTCTGCACTCCTCCTTCCCTTCCCCTGACACATGAACAGATGACTTAACTTCCTGGAGCCGCTAGCCTGGTGAGCCATTGGCCCCTGCCTGCCACCAAGGTCCTGTGGTCATGGCCAGCTCTGCCTGGGCCCCGCTGGGGTTGCCTGCTCCCAAAGATGATGCCGCTGGGAGCTCAGAGGGCCCAAGGCCCAAGTCCTGTGTCCTCCAGCAGTGGTACAGCCTATGGCAGCGTGGCATCCCGGCCAGCCCTTCAGCACAGGGTCCCTGTCCCTGGTTTACCTTGGGCTGCGGCTCTATTTCTCCCATTTTGGGATGAGAAAGCCACAAAACCATTCTCTATTGTTCTTAAGGGTATCCCTGCTAATTAATTCCCCAGATAGAATTTTTGGTGTTGATCTCCACAGTTCTGTCTACCAGTGTGGCCCCCTGGACCGGACAGGGCCCTGGGTTGGGGAGGTGACAGGACCTGGGCAGGGAGGGTGGTGGCCAGGAAGGGAGGGGAGTTGCATGAGGGGCATGAGGTCAGTGGATCAGCAGGTTCAGTGCTGAAAACCTGACCTCTGAGGTCCCTGGGAGGGCCTGGCCCAGGGGGCAAGACCTGAGGACTCCCCAGTCCTTACTGCTGTTGCCTTTCAGTGGAGACCCTCCTAAGACGCCTTGGGTCAGAGCCCCGTGCAGAGGGGCTGCCTTCTGGAGGGCAGGTGGGATGTGGGGTGGGAAGCCGGCCCTGAGCTGGGGTCTCCACCCTGAGGGACCCTCGCTGCCGGATCGCCCCGGCGTCCCTTCCCCAATTTCCACAGAGACGTGCTCACCGGCTACATATGTCATGATTCTATGTCCAACCACAGGCCCAACCCTCAGGACAGACCCCGCCACCCCCCTTCTCTGCAGCTCCTGGCAGGGACGGTGCACAGTGGTGCCGTGTGCAGGGGGCCAGCGCAGCCACTGGGCATCTGGGGCAGCGCTGGTCGCCTGGCCACCTCCTTGCTGGGGCCGCTGGGCCTCCGGCCTAGAAGGACAGGAAGCCATCCACCTCAAGGCGCAGGAAGGGGTCCAGCAGGGCCCGGAGCTTCCAGATGGTGGCACGGCTCAGCAGGGGCGGCACCAGCCCCTCGAAGGGCCTGGGGTTCACCATGTACACGTAGGCGACCAGCAGGGTGCCCAGCAGCAGCCTCAGGATCAGCAGCCTACGGGCGGTGGCAGTCAGGGCCAGGGGCACGCAGGGGGCCTGGGGGCTGGGCTCTGCCACACAGTCACCTACCAGAGCTGGCCTGCCAGGCCCTTGGAGCTTTCCAACTTTGGTCTCCCTTTCTGATGGGGAGGGGAGCCCACTCCGAGGGTCCAGGCTGAGGGCGGGGATCCCTGGCTTTGGGAAACCCTCCTCAGACAGGGCTCCCCGCACCGCAGCCCTGGCCCCTTCCTCCTGGACAGGCTCCTGCAGCCACTTTTCAGATGCCCCCCACCCTGGACCTGCTCTGCTGGAGCTCATTTCTCCCCCTTGCCCAAGCAGGGTGCTGGGTGGGGGGCTGGTCTCCAGACCCAGAGTGGGGCGTGGGGGGCTCACTGCCATGCTCGCCATCTGCGGCTCCTTCTTGGCCTGAGTGTGGCACTGGGCCCGCTCCCTGCAGAGGCCTCACTGTCAAGACCCCACGCCCTCCACCCCCCAGCCTGGCACCCACCCCCGGCTCAGTGCTATGGAGGTAGGTGGGGAGGGTCAAGGATGTATCTGCCTTGTCCTGACCAGAACCCCTTCCGAGACCCTGCTCAGCTGGCCCAGCCCCTGCCCCTGTGTTACCTGAGAATCTCCAGCTGGATGTCCTCCATCTGGTCCAGCACGCCCCAGATGTCCTTCTTGAGGTTCTGGGGGCCAGAGGAGGTAAGCACATGAGGCCCCTGGCCCTGCCCTCCCCGGCCTCTTGCCCGCCGGGCCCCATCCTTCTGGGTGCTGCCTTGTGGGGACCTACCAGGAGCCCGGTGGCCTGGTTGTTCAGGGCCACGTGCATCTCAGCCACGTTGTCCCACGCCTGGGAGAAGGTGGGGTCACGCCTGAGGAGCAGGACCCACGGGGTGGCCCCCAGCACCCCTCCCCCTCAGCCAGGCGGGCACCTCTGTGATGACCATCTTCTTCCTCTCAAAGCACAGGCGGATCTGCTGCAGCTCGTTGAGGGTGGGGCCCAGGGTGGGCTTGGGCAGCATCAGCAGGGTGGCCGGTACCTCCCCGCCGGGCCCACTAGCCTACTGCACGAAGACCTCCCTCCCTAATGAACCCCTCAGGCCCACCTGGAGTGCTGTACGAAGCTTCCTCCCCCCACAGCCCCTCCCCCAGGCCCACCAGGGACGGCTGCACGAAAGCCTCTTGCCCCTGGGACAGCTCCCGCCGCAGCAGCTGCAGAGGTGCCCTGTTCCCCAAGGGCTGCGTGCCAGCCGGGTCGGGGGGCTGTGGGAGAGCCCCCAGATCAGCCCCAAGGCTGTGGGCTAGTGGGGCATTGGCTGCATGGGGTCCCTGGGCCCTGTACTTACCCAGGCCAGAGCAGTGCAGCTTGAGTGTTCGGGACACAGGGGCAGGAACTGCTGCCCCGGCCCCAGGAGGGCCCCCAGCTGCTCCCGAAGGTCCTGGTTCTGTCTTTTCTGGGGTGGGGAGCAGAGAGAGGGGACTGCTTGTCATGGCCGCTCCTGGGGCTGGGGCTGGGGCTGGGGCAGGGGCGCCAGGTGATGGGTGGGTGCTCACCAGGCTGTGGTTCTCCTGCTCCAGGAAGGACTGTTCTGCAGAGCCCAGAGGCCCACACTGAAGCTGGGACAGGGCTGCCTTGGGCAAGGCCAGGGCCCCTCCCTCTGATGACAGGGGTGGGCATGGGCAGGGTCTGACCCCGGAGCCAGTGAATCCCCCCTGCCTGGGAGCCCCCTGGTTCGACCCTGGGTGCAGGGGCCAGCCCCACCCGAGCCCTGACTCCAGGTCTCCTTGTCTCAGCCCTTCAGGGTTTCTCGCTCTCTGCTCCTCGCTGGACAGAAAAGATCCTGGCAGCCTCGCCCTCCACCCTGGATCCCCTCCCCACTACCCCCTGCCCCTGGGACTGGGTAAGGTCTCTGGGACTGCACTGAGTGAGCAGAGGAGATGGGGCCCAGGCAGGGTCACACTACAAATCCCTGGCAGTGCTAGTCCAGGCATCCTCCATGGCTGCTGGAGGCTGCGGCTGGGGGACACTGGGGTTGGGCGTGGCCGCAGGGGCCCAGGGTTTTCAGCCCCTCCATCCTTCCCTGCAACCCCTTCCTGACCCCAGGTCCAGGCTCTGGCCTGGCCCGACCTGCTGCCCTCTTATTGAGGGCTCTGGGTGACCCACTGGCTCCCAGTCACAAAGGCCTGGGTGCAGCCAGGGAGGTCACAGTGGGCCCCTTCCACCTGGTCCTGAAGCTGCCCCGCCTGATGACCTCACTGCCTCTGACCCACCAAGAGTTTTTTTTCTTTCTTTCTTTTTATGGGAAAGGGCCTTGCTCTGTCACCCAGGCTGGAGTGCAGTGGCACAATGATGTCTCATTGCGGCCTCCAATCCCTGTGCTCAGGCAATCCTCCCATCTGAGCCTCCCAAGTAGCTAGGACTACAGATTTATGCAACCATGCCCGGCTAATTTTTAAATTTTTTGCAGAGATGGGGGGGTCTCCCTGTGTTGCCCAGCTGGTCTCAAACTCCTGGCCTCAAGCGATCTCTTGCCTCAGCCTCTGAAAGTGTTGGGATTACAGACGTGAGCCACTGCACCCAGCCTGGTTATTTTTCTTAAGATGTAAAACCGATAATACACACACAGTGTGGATTCAAAAAATACCAAACAATAAAAATGGCGCCCAAGCCTTTCCCACTTCTATCTCCTGTCCCTGCAGCCAGGAGCCGCCTCTTTAAGCTCCTCCTGGAGGTGGGCTGCCGTCCTCTGCCCCTCGTCCCCACGGAAGAGGTCATTCTGTAGCCCAGCTTTTATTTTCGCCTAATGTATCTCTGAGGTTTTAAAACATTCTTTTCTAGCTATCTATTGAACATTTACTTTATGCCAGATCCAGTACATGCCATTGTTATCCTCTGTTTACAGGTGGGGAAGCTGAGGCAGGAAGCCCTTTAGTCACTTGCCGAAGGCCACGCTGTTACCCATGGGACCGGTTTTGGGCGGCCGAAGAGCACTCATGGGGCCGGATTCACGCCCCAGGCCCGTTCCCTCCTGCTCTCTGGTGCTCCTCACGCCATTGGCCCCACTGCCTCTCACTGCCCGTGAGTCCCTGTGCCCGTGTCCTCCTTCTTGAACCCCTCAGCCCTCAGTTAACCCTCAGAAAGCTGGCTCGGAGAAGTCCTTGTGTGGTATCTGGGAGGCAGAGTTTGCCGTGAGCCGAGATTGTGCCACTGCACGCACTCCAGCCTGGGCGACAGAGCGAGACCCCATCTCAAAAAAAAAAAAAAAAAGGCCTCACGGGACTAGAAGCGTCTTACCCTGACCTCACACCTGCTGGACATCAGGCTGGGGAGAGAATCGGGGAAGAGGGCATTTTCCAACAGGACTGGAAGGCCAGTCGTGGTCCTTGGTGGTGAGAGCTAGCCAGGCCGCCGGCCTTCTCCCTGGAAGCCTGCAGGGTCCCCTCTGATCCCTGCACCTCTGGGGGGTCACACCAACTGCGGGTGTTTCCTCACCACGCTGGGCGCTTGGTGAGCACGTTCTGCCTTGAGACCTGGCATTTCTTTGATAACATTTCTTCTCGTTTCCTGCTCATTCTGGAACTCCTGTCAGTCAGATGTTGGGCCTTTTGGATAGATTCTGTGAGTCCTTCTTTCTACCTTTGCTTGTAGATAAGATTTTCCTTGAATCCAAACACACACACTCTCTCTGCTTTTTAAAAAATTAGTTTTGGGGCTGGATGTAGTGGCTTACACCTGTAGTCCCAGGCACTTTGGGAGGCCGAGGCAGGCAGATCACTTGAGGTCAGGAGTTCCAGACCAGCCTGGCCAACATGGTGAAACCCCGTCTCTACTAAAAATACAAAAAGTAGCTGAATGTGGTGGTGTGCACCTGTAATCCCAGCTACTCAGGAGGCTGAGGCAGGAGACTGGCTTGAACCCGGGTGGCAGAGGTTGCAGTGAGCCGAAATCACACCACTGTACTCCAGCCTGGTGACAGAGCCAGACTGTTTTAAAATAAATAAAAATAAAAAATTGGTTTTGGATTTTAGCAGTCCTGTTTTTCATTTCCAAGACATCTCTATCATTCCCTGAGCTCCCCTCTTCTTGTTCCAGAGAATTCAGTTCTGCTCTTAGGCATAAAGTGGGTTTGGAGGAAGGCGAATCTTTTGCTTTCTGCATTTTCTCTCATGGTTCTTTTTTGTTTATTTAGTCTTGGAACTTCCCATGAGACTCAGTGCTCAAATGTCTGGCTTTTCTTTCTTTTTTTTCTTTTTTTTGAGATGGGGTCTTGCTCTGTCGCCCAGGCTGGAGTGCAGTGGCGCGATCTCGGCTCACTGCAAGCTCCGCCTCCCGGGTTCACGCCATTCTCCTGCCTCAGCCTCCTGAGCAGCCGGGACTACAGGCGCCCGCCACCGCGCCCGGCTAATTTTTTTGTATTTTTAGTAGAGATGGGGTTTCACCGCATTAGCCAGGATGGTCTCGATCTCCTGACCTCGTGATCTGCCTGCCTCTGCGTCTCAAAGTGCTGGGATTACAGGCGTGAGCCACTGTGCCCAGCCTTTTCTTTCTTTTTGATCCCTGTTTATAGGGGAGGCAGGCAGAGCTGCCCGGCACTCCTCTCTCCTTGTTAACTTGAGAAAGCCGGACACCCAGGTCTTGGAAGGGAGGCCTCCTGCCTCCAGGCAGCATCTTGGGCTGCAGGGCTGCAGTCTGGAGTGGGGACAGTCCCGGCTCCCACTCGTCTCGGGCTGCAGGGCTGCGGTCTGGAGTGGGGGCAGTACTGGCTCCCACTCGTCTCGGGCTGCAGGGCTGCGGTCTGGAGTGGGGGCAGTACCGGCTCCCACTCGTCTCGGGCTGCAGGGCTGCGGTCTGGAGTGGGGACAGTACCAGCTCCCGCTGCTGTCCTGCCATGCTTGTTTGCAGCACACGTCTCCTCATACCAGTGACGAGGCTACTGCTTGCCAGCTGCTTGCCTTCTTCCTGCCAGGGTGTCCTGCTATGTCAGCCTCTGCTCTCCACTTCAAGAAGTGTCTTGAAAGATCTTGTCTGCAGAAGACCTCTCTCCTGTTCTCAGTGCCACGTGGGGCCTCCCCAGCAGAGGCGGCTGGATACCTGGCCCTGGCTACTGGAGGCTGTCTGTTAGCTGCCAGAGGGCGGCGGCAGCCTTCAGGAACCTCCCCTGGCCTCTGCCCTGTTCATTCCTTGCTGGAATGTCATGGGTCTCCGGATTTGCTGAGCTCAGAGACCCCATGGGGCAACTTGGGATGGGGGCTAAGGAAGGCCTCTTGGAGGAACCCTGAGGTGAGGTGGCCCTGGGGTGGGGTGGAGGAGGCCTTGAGCAGCAGGGGAGGGGGCTGCCCCCTGCTCTCTGCATCCCTGAGTGAGTGGGGCGGGGCCTGCCCCCTGCTCTCTGTGTCCCTGAGTGAGTGGGGCGGGAGGATGAACCCTGCTCTCTGTCCCTGAGTGCATGGGGCGGGGCCTGCCCCCTGCTCTCTGCGTCCCTGAGTGAGAGGGGCGGGGGGCTGC
This sequence comes from Homo sapiens, assembly GCF_000001405.40. Lineage (NCBI taxonomy): Eukaryota > Metazoa > Chordata > Mammalia > Primates > Hominidae > Homo > Homo sapiens. Next base: position 35,079 of record NT_187632.1, on the reverse strand, counting down.
ACCCTGCTCTCTGCGTCCCTGAGTGAGTGGGGTGGGGGGCTGCACCCTGCTCTCTGTGTCCCTGAGTGAGTGGGGCGGGGGCTGGCCCCTGCTCTCTGCGTCCCTGAGTGAGTGGGGCGGGGGCTGGCCCCTGCTCTCTGCGTCCCTGAGTGAGTGGGGCGGGGGGCTGCACCCTGCTCTCTGTGTCCCTGAGTGAGTGGGGCGGGGGCTGCCTCCTGCTCTCTGTGTCCCTGAGTGGGGCGGGGCCTGCCCCCTGCTCTCTGTGTCCCTGAGTGAGTGGGGTGGGGGCTGCACCTGCTCTGTGTGTCCCCAGCCTGCTAGGTGCCCCACAGGGGCCAGGATGCTGAGGAGTGAGAGGTCCTCACAGAGACAGGTGGCTCCTGTAGCAAGGAAGACAACACTGGCTTCCTGGGCGAACAGCAGGGCGGGGTCCTTAGGTCCCACCGTAGGTGCCCAGGCCTAGATGAGCTTCCCCAGTGGCCCCGAGGGGGCGCCCAGGACCCCCTGAATGGCCCAGTGTCCTCCCGTCACCCTTGACCCTGGGCACCACCCTCCTTGGCCTGGAAACCCCAAGTTCCCTGATGCCCCCACTCCTCTCCCCGCCTGTGCCAGGGAAAGCTGCTGCTGTCTCACTCAGCCCTGAAGCCCCTCCTCCCCCAGCCCCTCTCACCCCTCCCTGTGATCCTTGCCAATCACCCTGAGCCCGAGAAGGTCGGGGGGACTCTTGGAGAGACGGGGCCCTGGATCCCCAGCCCTGGGGTTCCCCACTCACGGGGTCATATACGCTAACAAAGGCCAAGCGCCCTGCCAAGCGGTGTCCTGGATTGGGGTGGGCGTGGGGGTTCGCCTCAGGTCCAGGCTCCGGGATGTCGTGCAGGACAGGGCGCGGCTGCGGCGGGGGCACTGGCTGGAAGCCGGAACTCCCGGCCTCGAGGGCGAAAAGTGTGGCCAGAGCAGTGTGCTGGGGGGGCCGTGGCCCCGTTGCCAGGCCGGCGCCTCCCTGGACATCATTTGCAACGGAAGCCGCTTCCTGCCCATGTTGCCACAGTGTCCAGATGGCCTCGAGGAGCCTGGTTCAGAGGGTCTGCCCTGTGCCCTTGCCCCTCCTCTGCTGCCCAGGAATGGGTTGGGAGGGCAAAGAGGAGGAGAGGCTGGGGCGCCCAGCATGGAGACCCGAGTCCTTCCTGCTGGAGCCGGGCTGCAGCGCAGGGCAGGGGCCAGATGGGGCTGTTCTGCTGTCTGCACTGCCGCCTTGATGTTCCATGCCCTAAGCTCGTTTTATTTATTTTCTATTTTTATTTTTTAAAACAGGATCTCACTCTGTTGCCCAGGCTGGAGTGCAGTGGTTCGATCACAGCTCATTGAAGCCTCCAACTGGGCTTGAGGGATCCTCCCACCTCAGCCTCCTGTGTATTGGGGACCACAGGTATGCGCCACCATGCCCAGCTAATTCTTTATTATTTTATTTTTGTGGAGACTGGGTCTCGCTATGTTGCCCAGGCTGGTCTTAAACTCCTGGCTCAAGTGATCTGCCCACCTCAGCCTCTCAAAATGTTAGGATTACAGGTGTGAGCCACCTTGCCTGTGCTTGGCTGTTCCCAAGCTTATCTCAAAAGCCAGGGAACAGGCCCTGAGTGGATGGAACTCGGTGTCACTGGGCTAGCCACAGCCCTCAGAGGACCCTATCTCTGTGCCCCCTCCTAACCTGGGCTCTTGGCCCACACCCACCCAGGCTGCCTGTCAGGGTCTACTCCCTCTCCAGCCCTCAGAGCTGCCCTATGGGGAGGGTTGGGGGTCCCAGGAAACCTGGCCGAAATGGCCATGGGCCCTGGCATGGGCACTACCCTTCATGTCCTCCCAGGGCCTGGGCTGTGGCCTGAGGTGTGAGTGCTCCTTTGCCTCAGGAGGGGAAGAGGTGCGTGGTGGCCTTCGGTCAGGGCCCATGGGGCTCCAAGGGTGGTCTTGGGCCTCCCAGGTTCCCCTAGACTCACAGCCAGGAGGACGGGTCTGCGGGGGGCTGTGTGAGGGATGCGGTGGCCTGCAGAGTGCCCCACCCTGTCCAGGGCCAGGGTGGCGAGTGGACACATGCCCCGAGTGCCGGGCAGCCTCCCCTGCCTTCCCACCCTGTGGGGCACCCCCGAGGGGACAGAGAACAGATGAGGGCTGGGTCCTGGGAACAGGGTGTGGGGGAAGGGCAGAGTGCTGGGGATGCTGAGCCCATGACCTCCCTGTCCCTGGGGCCTTCCCATGTCAGAGGTGAGGCTCAGAGAGGTAAGGGCTCACCTTTTGTCTGCCCCGTCCCCAGCATGGCTAAGCCGCTCCCAGGGTGCGGGCCATAGCAGGCCATTTGTCTCCCTCCTGGGTGAGGCTCTGGACACGGCTTTTCACATTTTTTATTTAGGAATCAGAGAGAGATAAGAATGTCACCTCTCATGGACAATGTGGCCCCAGTAAATGACTGTCAGCCAGGGTGTCCAGGGCTCCAAGGCCCCAGGAGGTGGCCATGCTGGGGCTGCCAGGCCCCTGGCTCCAGGGTTGCCGGGGCTGAACTGAACGTGCCCACCCCTGCCCAGGCCCAGGCTCCTCCCTGTGAGGAGCCCACCGGCTTGGCCAGTCCACCTTCTTGGCACTTCCTGCCCACCTGTCCCTTCTAGTCGGAGCCTGGGGAGACAGTGGAGCCTGGGGAGACAGTGTGGCGAGTGCCTGATGGTCGGTGCCAAGGTCATCTCCCAGGTCCTTGCTGGGGCCAAGAGCCAGGACTCCTTACCCGTCCCCTTAGCTGCCCTGTGCCTGCCCAGCACCTGCTGGGACTAGGCTGCCTATTGGAGCAGGAAACACGGTGCTGGGCTGTGAGCTCCCAGGGCCTGTCTGTGTGTCCCAGTATCAGGCTCCTGGGTTGAGAGAGAGATGGGGGGTGGGTGGGGAGCAGGTGAGGAGCGGCAGGCCCCCTGGAATCCCTCCATGGCCACCCCTTGGTCTCCGGGACTTGTGTGCGGCAGGTACGGGCTGGAGCTGTGGTGCAGTTCCCAGTTTCACCACCAGATGGCACTACGCCCCTGCAGACGCAGTGCCCAGAGCAGGCCAAGTGGTTTGGGAGCTGCAGCTGGAGCATCCAGCAGGGGAAGCTCTGGGAGGTCAGGGGCAGTGCTGGGGGAGCCACCTCCCCACTTGGATCCGAAGTTCTCATGGAGGCCTAGGGCAGGGGCTGACCAGGTAGCCAGAAGTTCCCTTGCTGAGTCTAGGGTGTCTGTCCCACATTTCACATGGAGACGAATCATCCCAGACACCCCGGCACTGTCCCGGGGCAGTTTGCCACCCCTCCCAAGGGGCAGGGCTCCTGTCTTGGGGTCTTCCCAAGCATAGTAGCCTTCGGGCAGCCCCGGCCTGGCCCCAGGTTGTCCCACTTGTCAGTGGGCAGCTGGGGCTGGGGGAGGGGTCCCAGCTCCTGTCCAAGGTCATGACTGCCCCTGACCAGGGTGTGGCAGCCGCTGTGGCCTGGGTCAGTGAGGCCGTGGATGGAGGGTGGCCCGGGTGTAGGCGCTGCTCTCAGCTAAGAGAGACCTCATTTGGAGGAAGAACCAGGAACCAGAGGGATGGCCGGGTTCCCAGCGAGCAGGAGGCCAGCTTAGGGTCAGCAGGGGCACCCTGCAGGGACTCCAAGAGGCAAACCAAACCACATGAAGAGTCATCTGAGAGGGAATGACGGAGGCTGGGGAGGTGGAGCCCCCACCTCCAACTGCTGCCTCGGCCCCCACAGCAGGGGAGGGTGGGAGGCTGGTCCTGGCTCTGCCCTGGGAGATGCCACCTGGGCCTTGGTCTGGGGAGGAGGGCTGGCCGGGAGGCTGGATACGGCCACTGCTCTGGAGTGACCACACCATTTCCACCCTGCTTGCCTCATTCTTCTCATGGGGGCCTCAAGGGGACACACCAGAGGTTTACTGGGGACAGGGCAGGGGAGGGATCTCAGCGCTGGCCTTCTGGGGCCCTGCGTCCACTCTGCCCCTTTCTGACCTGGGCTGGGGCCTCTGCTCTCCTCCGGGCCTGGAGACAGAGCCCTTTTGGAGGCCCTCAGGCCCGACAAGCCTGTTCCTTGGAGCCAGGCTGTGGGCTGGGTGTATTCTGGTGGGATGGGGGATCTGGGGCATGGGGTGGGAGTGGGGCTGGGAGTAGGTTGAGGTTGGTGCCTCAGGCTCTGTGGAATGGGACTGGGATGGCTGCAGACCCTGGGCTTTGGGGTCTGAGCCCAGCCCTGTCCCCAGGCAGGCTGCCCCCTGCAGCCCTGGATTCCCATGTTGGTTGGAGTTGCGATGAGAGGTTCTGGGGCCTCCTTTGCTTCTGTCCAGGACACACAGCTGAGAAGTCACGGTCTGCTGCCTGACTGTGGGGGTTTCAAGCCCCACTGGAGCATCCAGGCAGGCCCTTGGGCGGCAGGGCCTCGTGGGGGCAGGAGGGGACCCTGGGAAGTCGGGAACCAGGCCAGGGAGGGAGAGAAGGCAGGAGCACAGTTGTGGGTGTAGGCACCCACCCCGTCCCGAACGATGTTCCTCCCGGCCCACCCCACTCCAGTCCTCTGGGCCGGCTGCCAGAGGGTGCTGCTTGAGGCCACTTGCTTCCTCAGAAGAAGGTCTCACCTTCAGAGCCAGCCTTTGAGCTCCTGGTGACCTCAGCCTGTTGCCCTTGACCCTGAGTTTGCCTAGATCAAGTGGGAGGCCACTCTTTGGGCCTCAGTTCTCCCGTTCCCAGGGAGCAGGTCCTCTGTCCCCTGACAGCACCCCTCCTCGCTGTGCAGCCACCACTGCCAGGTTTCTGACTAGGCAGTGTTCCCCAGGGGGTGGCTCTGGGCCCTCAGGCAAACAGCCACGCTGGGAGGGGCGGTGGTTTGCACGTGAATAGTGTCACTCGGGTCCTTTGCTTGAAGTTGGCTCTGCTGAGTGCAGCCTGCAGACATTTTCAGGAAACTCAGTCCACAGGCTGGAGGCTTCTGCTTCCCCACAACCCAAACGGCCTCCAGCCAGCCAGAGAGCCATGAGAATCCAGCCACTAGCAACTGCCAGCAGGAAACCCACTACCAGCTGCTCACAGATGGACAGCCCATCCCGGTAGCTGGCCCCACCTCCCCGCCCCTCTGCTGACCAACCCAGCAGCTCCTTGGGTGGGTGTGGCCACCCTGCTGCCCCCACCTGCTCCCGGACCCTGTGCCAGGCGGTGCCTTGCCTCAGCGGGGCCTCGCCTCCCCCAGAGCCGCTCTGCTGCCTGACCTTGTGATATCTTGGGTCCTCTGGGCACTGGCGCAATTGGGTGGGGTCAGCTTTGGCCAGCAAGTGGGGGGCAGGTGGGTAAATCCTCCCTCTCTGCCATCTCCACTTCCTTCCTCCTACCCGGCTTCCCTGCCTTTTCCCCACTCTGGCTCCAGGGTTGCACTTCTCAGAAAGCTGTCGCTGCCCGGCTGCGCACAGGCCTGATTTTCTTGGGAGTCTGGGCTAAGATTCTGACTGGCCCTCCCACTTACCACCCACACCACCACGCAGCTAGCCAGTAACAGGGCCAGGAGTGATCAGGAGGGGGCCCACCTGACCACCCGCCCGGCGCCTCCAGCTGGCCAACTCTGCCCGCTCAGGGCCATGAGCTGGAGGTGCCAGGAGCCTCCCGGGAGGCAGTGTGAGGCATTCTTCTTAGTAAGTCCCGCATCGATGATAAAGGGCAGTATCAGCCCCTCTCTGATGCGCAGTGAGCGGCTCACCATACAGGGGAGGCGTTTAATTTATCTCGGGAACTGGGCGCAAGTTATAAAAATGGTAATTTCTTGGAGATTCAATTACGTGTTTTCATTGTTACCCTCGGTAATCAAGGAAACAATTTTTTATAAAAGGCTGTTGGATGATACTGATCTCAGGAGAGGATCTGGGCCGGGTGGGGGCTTTGGGAATGAAGAGGAGGGCAGTGTCTGCTGGGGGCAGGCAGGGCAAGTGGAGCTGAGCCGTCCAGCCCACCAGCTGTTCCAGCCCTCCAATTCCTCCATTCCTCTCTGGCCTCAGTCTTCCCTTATGCCGATGGGGCCATCTCTGGTAGGGAGGGTCTGGCAGGAGCTGATGAAGTGAGGCATGGCTCCTGGGCCGTGAGGGTGGCTGTGAGGGTAGCTGCGTCCCTGCCCCTCCCTGCCTGGTGCCCGAGCAGTCTCGTCCATCTCCTGAGGCCTCTGCAGGGCATAGAGAGGGGTTCCTCATGGAGTGCGGACCTGATTTTTTTCCCCAAGTGATGTCTTGGCTCTAAATAACATCTCCAGGATTAATGGTGCCAGCCCCCAACAGCACCAGGTGATTGAAAAAATGGTTTTATGGCCCCGTGGGTGAAATTCAACTTGCATCTGAGGTGTATTTCCAAGATGGGATTTTCCTCCCTGGGAGAGGCGGCACATTCCACACTAATTATAATGGCAGCTCCTCGACATTCATCACCCATAGTGGGGGGGACACCTGTCTGGGGCACAGGGGCAGGGTGTCCCTGGGGTAACCTCCAGGTCTCCTAATCTCAGCAGACTCTGGGGGGCTGGTTCTAGGAGATGCGCCCTCACGCAGTGCAGGGCCAGGGGAGGGGGAGGCGGGAGCCCCCAGGAAATGAACAAACTCTAGCTGGGCTGCGCCAGGGAGGAGGCTGGAAGGAGGCCCCAGGCTGAGGGTAGGACCCGGCTAGTGCTTGCCCAGGGACCCACAGGCCCCTTGCTGAGCAGACTCCAGCGAGGGGCCTGGCCCATCTTGTTGCAAGAGGCTGGAGTCCTGGGCTGAGCTGGGCAGTTGACCTTGGATCTGACTGTCTCCCCTGAAATTCCTTTTACCCCAACTCAGGCTCCTGCAGTCCCGCACAGCGCCCAGCCAGGATGGGCAGGAGGAAGCCCTTCCTCCGACGGGCCCTCACCGCACCCTGCCTGAGGGGCCTTGAGCCCCAGGGCTCTTGTCTCAGCACTTGGCCGTGGAGATTCGGGAACTATGGGAGTTTGGGGGATCTCGGTGGCTGAGGGCTGTGCTCATGAAGGACTCCTTGAGTTTGGAAGATGAGGCTCACCTTCTGCACAGCCAATAGGTCATTGTCATGGGAACACTGACCACCAGCACCAACCTCCATCCCCCGCCGGGGGCACGTGCCTTTATCACCCATTTCCTAGGTGAGTACAGGGGCTCAAAAAGGGGCAGGGTTCCTGAGGTCACACAGCAGGTGAGCAACAGAGCCAGTGAGGGCCTGGGGGTGTCCTGCCAGGGGCTGAGGTGTGCCCACATGCAAGAATCCAGGGGTCCGTGGGCCAGGGCCCTGCCAAGAGTTGGGGGCTGAGGGAGGGAAGGGGGCATTGCCAACCCTGCAGCCCCTGCCGTGGGGGGTAGAAGAGAGATGCCCCTCTGGGGGCCCGAGGGCAGGGTGGGCCCATGCCGTTCCCTCCCACCTGCCACAGGTGAACCTGACAGGAGTGGGGATGGAGCCTGGCATCCCAAGGGAACCTCCTGGAGTAATCACTCCACATGCTTGCAGTAAATATTGGGCCCTTCTTCCCCTCCCAGTAAATGAACTTATTTACTTTTAACTAAGATTAAATGTTCTCTGTGAGTTCAAGATACTGACTGCCCTGTCAGGCTCAGTCCACGCTCTGCTCTTCCTGCCTCTGGGGGCCACCCCCAGGCAGGGAGGGACCAGGCAGCCCTGGGGAAGCAGAGAAGTTGTTTCTCCAGGAAACTCCAGGAGGAGAATCCATTTACATCATCACCACTGTCACCATGAGCACGGCCATAACCACCATCATGGCCAGCTCCACCAGCACCCCATCACCACCAGCACCGGCATCATCACCACCACCACCACCACCACCACCATCACTACCAGCACCATCACCTCCACCACAATCAACACCATCACTGTAACCACAACTTCCATCACCACCACCATTACCCTCACCATCCCCACCATCACCATCACCATCAGTACCACCACATAACCTCTATTTTGACCACCACCATCACCACCACCACCACCATCACCATGATCACCAGCATCACCACCACCACCATCACCATGACTACCATCATCACCACCACAGCCTCCATCACCTCCACCATCACCACCCCCATCACCGCTTCCACACCACCACCGCCAGTAACACCACCTCCATCACTACCTCCATCGCCACCACCATCACCATCACTATCACCATCACTACCTCCATCACCATCACCACACCTCCGTCACTATGGTCGCTGTGACTGAGCCCATCCTCACTACTGTCATCAGCACTGTCATAGTACCATGCTGACAAGCCCACAGTGGGTTTGAGGGCTGCCATTGCTTGGGACTAGTTCCTCAGGCACAGGAGGCTCCACGCTGGTCTGATTGCATTGGAGGGGTTGCCTGACAAAGGTCTTTATGGGGTGCGCATTGTAGAGTGGGGAGGGGGAGGTTAGGGCAGGTCTGGAGGACTTCATGCCATGGGCATTCTCCCTGGCCCCCTTCTGTCTCAGCAGCACCCCACGCTTCTTGACTGAGCTGGAGCAGAGGAAGCAGGCAAGGGTGGGAGGAGGGGCAGGGGCAGGAGGAGGGACAGGGGCAGCCACAACCATGTCCACCTAGGCTGGAGCACAGCCCCTGAGCCTCCCTAAAGTGAGGGGCCACCCAGAGGAGGCACCTAACCATTCTCTCCTCCAGACTCCACCCAGTGCTTGGATAGCCAGCGGGGTAGCTTGGGGTTGGGGCTGGGCACTCAGCCAAAGGGGCCTGAGAGCATGCCGTGTGCAGAGCCTGCTCCCATGAGGTGGTGAGAGCCTGCTGCACCGGTCTCCTGCCCCGAGCCTTGGCTTGCTCATCTATGAACGGGTGACATGGTGCCTGCTGCACAGCAGGCCACAAGAGCAGAGCGACAGGACACAGTGAGGGGCGGTAAGTTGCTGCCTGGTAAGAGAGCTGTGGGCTGGCCTCAAGGGGTAGCCTGTGTCCTCTCACTGAGAATAGTGGGAAGCGAGCTGCGAGCTTGGGCCCACAGTGGTGGTCTTAGGCTGCCGTGGTCACATAATGCCACCTCCCAGTGCCTGCGGCACCACCCCTGGGCTCCGCAGCCCCAGCCAGCCGTCCATGTGGCCCATCCTGTCCTCTCCAGGCCTGTCTGTGTGCACCCAGTGGAGGGTCTCCTGTCTCCTGTGGCTCCCTGAGGCTGCTGGTCACAGGGCTGATGAGGACACTGGAGACCGCTGCGGGGCTAGGCAGGGGCCCTGTGGGAGTGCAGCAGCCTGGAATCTGCAGCTGGGGCTGACCTAGCACAGCAGGCCACTGGTGCCACCTCTCACGTGGCAGGCGCTTTGCAGCCTCCCACTGCAATCCCAGCAGGCCTCGGTGCCAGGGCGGCCCCATCCTGGGGGCCATTGAGGACCTGCATAGGCCACAGGGCTCACGAGCATGGGCACACCAGGGCCCGGTGGGAGCAGCTGGAGGGAGGGTTCAGTCACCCAGGCCTGCCCAGAGCTCTGCCCAGGGCCCAGGATGAACTGATGGGGGCAGCCTGCAGGCGGTGCCAGCGAGAGTGGGCGGTCCCCACAACAGGGGGGCCCTAGCCAGCCTCACCCAGAGCAGGGAGGGCATGTGTGGAGATGCAGGAAACCTCTCCCATGTCCAGGAAATATTATTAACAAAAATTTTAAATCTTGGTGACATTCCCGATGGCCAGATAATTAATATAACAGCAGATAATAATTAATTATTAATAACTGCACTGAATAGTTTTCAAAGTAATTGTGATAAAGAGAATGTTAAATGAAAACTCATCAAAGTTGCTGATGCCCTGCACAGTGAGGGCACCTTGGTGCTGGGGGTGGCCACATCGACTGGGCCGAGACTGGCCCCCCCGGGCCCACTGTGTCCTGGTGCCACGTATTAGGGGTTGTTACCCATACTTGGAGTGTGAGGACCCCCCCACAACACACACGGGGTGAGGACCCTGCACGCACATGCAAAGGCAGGGGTGTTTCTTAGTACTGGGCCAGGTGGGCAGAGTCTGTGTCTCTTCCTGCCTCACTGGGATTGTGGATGGCCATGGGGTTGGCTCAAGAGTCTGCCCTGTGCCTGCAGGTGTTCTGGATATCTGGGCTAGTGGGTGGGGGTATTATCTGCCCCATGAGCCAGTCTCTGGTTCTTCTATTGCCCCAGACCCTCCAGGCCTTGGGTGAACCCCCTCCACCATCCAACTTGACCTGCCATGTTCCTGGGATCTAGCCCAGGACTACTTCATCCAGCAATTCTCACTAAAGTGTGAGTGGCTGCTCGGCACTACCGTAATCCTTGCCGCCTCATGTGTTTATTGGTGTGAAGCCTTCAGCTGCAGAGGGATGAAGAGGGTGGTCCCAGGCAGAGCAGGCCTGCTCCCTCCACCCTCAGGCTACTGACTCTGCAGCTCTGGACAGTGGCTGGGAGCTGCCAGGAGCCCAAGTAGGAGCAGGACCTGGGGATCTCCTCCCCACACATAAGCCGGTTTCTCTGATCCTGGTTCCTTGCCCTGTCTGGCCTGCCTTCCAACTGACACCACCATGTGGCTCCCTCACCTCATTGAGCAGGACTGTTGCGGTAAACTGAGGAACGGAGAGACCAGTATGAGAAACAGGAGGATTGTTTATTTTAGGTATGCGCCGGCTCAGTGGATTCATATCCAAGAAGCTGAGCATTAAACAAAGAGAGAGCGGGGGTTTTTATGAGCGGACTTACAATAAATAAAAGCAGTTACTCACGTGATAGGTCACATAATCTATAGCATAGCATAACTTGTGGCCTTGTAGCTGCATTGAAAGAAAAACAAGAACTGGCTAAATACAGACATTTATAAAACATAATCATGCATTTGGACCCATTCCACAGATGGAGAAGATGAAGCACAGGAATGGCATAAATGACTTCCTCCATGTTGTACATGCAGTAGGTGCTAGATTCTGGCACCAAAGCCAGTGCTTTGTCCTCTTCCCCTTTCCTCAGTGGCTTTCCTCTCTTTACCTGCCCCAAAGGCTGTAATCTCTAACATGACCCTAAGAAAGAGAATGGAACGGATTTCTTATTAAATATATAAATAGAGATAATGCCATCCGAATAACGTTTTATGTTCCCTGGTCCCAGTTTTTCTAATCAATAAAGTTTTTAACTCTTCCCTCCTTTTTTTTTTTTTTTTTTTTGATGCAGAGTCTCATCCTGTCACCCAGGCTGGAGTGCAGTGGTGCAACCTCAGCTCACTGCAACCTTCGCCACCCGGGCTCAAGTGATTCTTGTGCCTCAGCTTCCCAAGTAGCTGGGATAACAGATGCCTGCCACCATGCCCGGCAATTTTTTGTTTAGTAGAGACAGGGTTTCACCATATTGGCCCAGGGTGGTCTTGAATTCCTGAGGCTCAAGCAATCCACCCGCCTCAGACTCCCGAAGTGCTGGGATTACAGGCGTGAGCCACCGCTCCTGACCCTTCTTTCTCTTCCTTCTTCATCTTTCATCCTTTCTCCTCCTTCCCCTTCTCCCTTCCTCCTCCTCTTTCTTCTCCTCCTCCTCTTTTTCTCCACTTCTCCTCCCCTCACCCCCTCCATTCCCCTTTTCTCCCCTCTCCTCCCCTCCCTCTGAAGGTAGAGAGCTTTCCTCTGAAACACCTTGAGCTGTTTTTGCTTTTAGACATGGCTTACAACGGTTTCCATCTTCCTGTGGGTCACAGGTTCACTGATATTTAGTGAACAATTTCTGAGCACTTTGAAACTTGAAATATGCTAATGCTCACTGTTCTATGAGCTTTAGATATAGAATTTTGTTTAAACCTCATAAAACTTCGTGAGTGAGATAGTTTCCTTCTTCACATTTACAGATGGGAAAAATGAGCCTTAGGTTAAGTAAACTGCCCAAGGTCACACAGCTAGTCAGTGGCAGAGCTGGGAATCAAACCCAGGCACTCAGGTGCCAGAGCCTACATGCTTCACCCTGGGCCTTCAAAAGATGAAACATCACACCCTGCTTAGCAAGTGGGACATTTATATTTCATCTGAAGAACGTGTGCCCCAAACTGCATGGGGAGGGGAGGTGGTGCCTGGTGGGCTGATGGGACATTCCTGTCTCCTCCTCAGGTTTTGTTGTGGTTCCCAGGCGGTGCCTTCGAGACTGGCTCAGCCTCCATCTTCGATGGGTCCTCCCTGGCTGCCTATGAGGACATGCTGGTTGTGATCGTCCAGTACCGGCTGGGAATATTTGGCTTCTTCACGTGAGTCTCTTCAAATGATCGACATCCCAGATCCCCAAGGGGCAGCAGTGCAGTAGCCATAGACAGTGCCCAGCAACCTAAGAAGGAGTGAGCCTTCCAGGACATTGAACAAAACTGGCCCTAGTTCCTTAGGTAATTTTTGCTGCCGTAGCAGATAAATCCCCAAATTTTGGTGGCTTAACACAATAAAAATCTTTTTCTCACTTGAGTAAAGTTTAATTGAGCATCCCTGATCAGCAGATATTCTTCCCCATGGTCAGCCAGGGATCTGGCTCTTTACATCTTGAGCTCTGATGTGGATTCTCTAGGGCCCCGGATCTTCTGCATTTGGCAGGTGGGCGGAGAAAGCATGGAGGACCATGCAAGGGAGAGTCTCCTGGCCCAGCCTGCAGGTGGCACTCGTCACTTCTGTTCACTCACCATTGGCAGAACTCAGTCACATGGCCACATCCAGCTGCAAGCGAGCTGGGGCAATGTAGCCCCACTGCATGCCCTGGAAGACAGGACACTGTTTGTGTGAGCAGTTGGTAGCGTCTACCTGAGCCTCACCCCAAGGCTTCTCGAATGCTCACCTGAGAATCATCACTCCATCACAGTGGCTTCCCTCCTCCAATCATGCCTAACATGTATTGGGTTATCAATGAACCAGGCATGCATTATTTCAACTCATCCTCAAAATAATCCTTCAAGGAAGATTCTCTGTTGTTATCTTCATTTCACAGCTGGAAAATGGAGGCCCAGAGAGGCCAAGCAACTTCCCAGGGGTCACAAAACAGAGCTAGGTCTCTTGACCACTTCTATTATCCTGCCTAAAACATGGCAGGAGAAGTCCTGACCAGGGACCAATGTAAGCAAAGAGAAGTGAGAGGTGGGGCCAGGATTATGCTTGGGGGTCACTGTCACATACTATGGGAAAATCAGCAATGATTCAAAATATGAATCCTGCCCTACAGAGGCTCCTGACTATGGGGGACATAATGCAGGGACAAAAATTTCCACATTACCAAGAAGGACATGGTTAATTCTCCAAGAATGAGAGGCCATGGGGCTGCGGAAACAGAGGAATGAGTTGCAAGGGATTGGGGAGGCTTCGGAAGAGGGGTGGCATTGGAGTTGCACCTGAAGGATGTGGTTGGGTTTGAGGAGAAGGGGTTGAGAGAACGTGTGCTCGGCAAAGGGTGCTACCTGTGCAAAGGTTAGGAAGTTGGAAGGGAGGTAGCAACACATGAGGATGAAGCAATACTTTTGCAAACTGCACTGGGCCTGTAGGCCTGGAATGTGGCTCTGGGAGTGCTGTGCAGGCAGGACAGGCTGACGGGGTGCCCTGACCCGAGCAATTACACTTCTAGCTGCTCTATACATTAGGATTCTGCGTAAGATTCCTTTGATAGGAACGTTTTCAACAATTGTTTATCATATCTGGTTTGAGCATAGGTAGATGAAGCTACAGCAGGAGATGGATGCAGAAAGGCAAGGACAGGCCTGACAGGGAAAGACCTTGAATGCCAGGCCGTAAATGGAGTTTGGGCTTTATCCAATACAGATTGAGGGACCAGGAGTACCTTTCTCAGAGTAGTGTACCAGGAACCTCCAGAGCAGAACGGAGGCTGAGCCAGGGGTGCCCAGCTGCAGATACGGACCCCCAATGGGAGGCACCGTCTTGATGCGGGCCACGGGGTGGTTGAACCACAAAAGCAATAGCTAACATGTATATAACAGGTGTATATGACATGCTTATTGTCTGCCTGGCACCGTCAATCTTCACAACCATGTGGAGTGGGCACTATCCCCATTTTAGACATGAGAACCATTGAAGCACAGCAGGTTAAGTGACTTGCCCAAGGTCACCCAGATGATAAGTGGCCAGGCTGTGAATCCTGTGCTCGAGGCTGAGATAGTAACCACTAAGGTATAATGCTTCTCAGGATAAACAGATGGAGAAATGGGGACCAGGGTGGGAGCCACAGAAGAATGGAGGTAAAATTGGCAGGGCTTGACTCTTGACCAGATGCAGGGGACTGGGAGAGAGAAGGTGGAGGCAGAGCCAGCTCAGTGGTCATGGATAGAGGAGGGAACCCAGGGGAAGGAGCAGTCTGGGGAACTGGGGAATGGAGTGGAGTAGAATGTGCCCCAGGATGACTTGCACTGATGGTGTGCACTGCGTGCATGCTTTCGGTCTAGACATTTCTTTGGTTCTGTGGGATTTCCAGTTGTTTCATTTGTTCTCCCATTAATTCCATCCCAGGAAACATGCAATTGTGCAGGAGCAGCAGCATGGGGGCGTGGGATCCCAAATCTGCAGCTTTCTAGCTCTTGAGCCAGGGGGTTTAACCTCTCAGTGCCTGAATTAAAGAGTTTATGTATCCATTCATCATCCTGACAGCATGCTCACAGGTTTAGTGGAAGGGAGTTGGCATGAGCTGCTGCTGTGGAGAAAAGCAGCCTCTGCCCAAACACTTCCCAGCAGAGAGGGAGCACGGGGTGGTGGGATAAACATCCCAGTCTCTCTCTAGCCCACCCTCACAGCACACAGCTGAGGCCTGGGTGATGACATTCCTAGAGGTCAGCTTTTGGGGGACAGGGCAGAGAAGGGTGGAGAGGACCCAGAGAAGCAAAGGGAGAAAACCCAGCACCATCTACCTCATAGGTGTGAGGGTTGTAGGAGTATTAGCCTTAAAGCCCTTAGAACAGTGTCCGGTACCTGCTGCACCTGCTATTATTGTTATTATGATTATTATTAATTTAGTTTCATGGAAAATTCTGTGCTCAGAAAACCCTTGCTTTCTAGTACAGACCAACTCTCAGGAAAGGATTCATGGATTCCAGACCAGCCTGGGCAACACAGGATTCACGCACTGGGATTCATGGATTCTGAGGAGCCTATGAATACTTGAAATTGCACCTACAGTATTGTATGTGCGTTCTTCTCGGGTGCATAGCTTTCATCAAATTCTCAAATCCAAATCCCAGCAAAGTGTGAGAACTGAGCCCGGTTTCCCCAGCTCCTCCAGACCTCTGACTCTCAGTCCCCTCCCCACTGACATCTGCCCACAGCCTCTGCTGAGAACTTCCAGGGCTGTGGGAAACACGCCATGGCCAACTGAGAATTCTCACCCTGCCTCTTGTCCTCAGCACATGGGATCAGCACGCTCCCGGGAACTGGGCCTTCAAGGACCAGGTGGCTGCTCTATCCTGGGTCCAGAAGAACATCGAGTTCTTCGGTGGGGACCCCAGCTCTGTGACCATCTTTGGTGAGTCCGTGGGAGCCATAAGTGTTTCCAGCCTTGTAAGTTCTCTGCTTTGTGATTTGAATGAATCTCAGTGTGGGAGGTCCAAAAATGATGATGAGGAGTCACTAACATTTGATTGGTGCCTTCATGCACAACAGACACTTTAAGGCACATTGTCTTCTTCAAGCCTCACAAACACATCATGAGTTAGGAGCTCAGTCTGATTTCATGGACAAGATAGCCGTCACTGGGAAACTTTAAATAAATCACCCAAGATCACATAGTGAGTAATAATTTGAGGAAAACTCCTTTATATTTGTAGAGGAGAAACCCTAGTATTCAATTACCAGAGCGGTAATTACTTGTTTAATAGAAAACTCAGCTAAAGCATGAAATATCAAAAGATGCATATAAATATTAAATTTTAATTTTATTTTAACTTAATTTAAACCATAAAATGTACATTCCCTCACCAACAGTTTGATACAGGGCCTTATGTTTGCAGAGCTGGTCTGCTGACTGGAGTTCCAACATGGATTATCTTGCATAAACCACTGCAAATGTTGCTGTCCTCAAATTGCAGTTTCAGTTTCTTTACGGTGGGCACAAACTTAAAGATGCCTGAGCACATTTTGGAGTTTTATACTTTTCCTGCAAATATTCTACTTATTTCTTGCCCACACATAATTTGACAGCCATATATATATTATATATATATAAAATATCTAGTATATACACACACACATAGTGTATATACACTGCTATATATGGTATATATACTATATATAGTAGTGTATATACACTATACACTATATATACACTATATATACTATATATGTGTGTATATATACTAGATATTTATATATCTATATATACTAGATATTTATATATATTAGATATATATATAGCTGTCAAATTATGTGTGGACAAGAAATAAGTAGTATACAGTATATATATAGTATATATACATACACACGTATATAGTGTATATAGTGTATAGTGTATATACACTACTATATATAGTATATATAGTATATAGTATATATATACCATATATATTATATATATAATATCTAGTATATACACACACATAGTGTATATACACTACTATATATATAGTATATATACTATATATAGTAGTGTATATACACTATACACTATATACACTGTGTATATATACTAGATATTTATATATCTATATATACTAGATATTTATATATGTACTAGATATTTATATATATACTAGATAATATTTATATATATATAGCTGTCAAATTATGTGTGGACAAGAAATAAGTAGAATATATACATATATAGTGCATATAAGAATATATACATATATAGTGCATATATGCACTATATATACTGTGTATATACACACATGCACATATATTTATATACATATATATACATACACAGACATATAAGGCTTTTTTTGTTTGTTTTGAGACGGAGTTTCACTCTTGTTGCCCAGGCTGGAGTGCAGTGGTGCAATCTAGGCTCACCCCAACTTCTGCCTCCCAGGTTCAAGCTTTTCTCCTGCCTCAGCCTCCCGAGTAGCTGGGATTACAGGCATGTGCCACCATGCCCGACTAATTTTGTATTTTTAGTAGAGATGGGTTTTCTCCATGTTGGTCAGGCTGGTCTCGAACTGCCGACCTCAAGTGATCTGCCCGCCCTGGCCTCCCAAAGTGCTGGGATTACAGGCGTGAGCCACCGCGCCCAGCGACAGCAATATATTTTTTTGAGACAAGGTCTCACTCTGTTGCCCAGACTGGCATGCAGTGGGGTGATCATAGTTCATTGCAACCTGAACTCCTGGGCACAAGTAATCATCATGCCTCAGCCTCACAAGAAGCATGTGCCACCATGCCCAGCTAATTTTTATTTATTTATTCATTTTTTTAGAGATGGGGTCTAGCTATATTGCCCAGGATGGTCTTGAACTTCTGGGCTCAAGTGATCCTTTTGCTTTGGCTTCCAAAAGTGCTGGGATTATAGGCGTGAGCCACTATGCCTGGCCCGAGAGCAATATTTTTTAGCCATCCTTTATCAAGAATTTTTTTCCAGACATAATTTGATTTTCTTTTACACATACAGTTCATTTGTTCTCATGATATTTCATTGATTATGTAATTACAATAACAAGTGCAGTTGACAAAACAGGTTTGGAAGCAAACACACCTGATTCTTGGCAAGAAACTGATGAGAAGAGAAATGGACAGAGGTGCTAGAAAATGGTCCATTGGCTCAGTGTGGTCACCATTTCCTTGGCATCAGTTGGCAGGTTAATTGCAGAAATCAGTGACATGGTGTTAAGAGAGCTTCTGCTGACTAGCACTTAACAATATATGTGGTCTTTTTACATCTTCAAAATTACCTTCTAAAGTGGATTATATTAACCTAACTTTTCATATATTATAACAGCCATTATTTCATGAACGAAATTTGACCAGACCACCTGTGAAGACTTCTATGTTTGTCACTGCCCCTGCTCCTCCAATAATTTTGTGATACGGGCTCAATTTTTACTCCAGTTTTACAGGGGAGTGAACTGATACTTAGAAATATTAAGTAACTTGGCTGGGCGCAGCGGCTCACGCCTGTAATCCCAGCACTTTGGGAGGCCAAGGCGGGCGGATCACGAGATCAGGAGATTGAGACTATCCTGGCTAACACGGTGAAACCGTGTCTCTACTAAAAATACAAAAATTAGCTGGGCATGGTGGTGCGTGCCTGTAATCCTAGCTACTCCAGAGACTGAGGCAGGAGAATCACTTGAACCTGGGAGTTGGAGGTTGCAGTGAGCCGAGATCACGCCACTGCACTCCAGCCTGGCCACAGAGTGAGATTTCATCTCAAAAAAAAAAAAAGAAAAAAAAAAAGAAATATTAAGCAACTTGTCCGAGGTTACACAGCTAGGAAGTGAAGGAGCTAGAAATCACATGCCTGAACATTTGACATCAAAGTTCATGAAGAACCAGGGCTCAGAGAGGTTAAGTAACTTGCCCAAACCTTCACAGCTAGTCCTTTAACCCCCGCCAAAAAGGGTTTTTTTTCCCCTCTAAGTTTAGAGCTTTTATGGAGGCTTCCTGGGAAGGTTTCTTTGAAGAGGGATGAATGGTATTTGTGATCGGTGGGGAGTCCTCTGCGTAACCTTTCCTGGATCTTCTGTGTTCTCTCTCCAGATTCTGTCTCCCATGGCCGAAGGCTTATTCCACAAAGCCGTCATGGAGAGTGGGGTGGCCATCATCCTTTACCTGAAGGCCCATGATTATGAGAAGAGTGAGGACGTACGAATACTGTTAACACCTTGCTAGCTTCCTCTCCTCAGTTAGGGGAGAATGTGTTCAGGCACCTTCTCACCATGTGCCATCTATCCCACGATATTTGTCATCTGTCTCTTAATTATCTACTACAGAGTGAGGCCCTAGAGACCAGGATCTCTCTGTCCTTCAGGCCCCCAGCATAATAAGTGGTATATATCAGGCAGCTATAAATGTTCTGGATGAATGAGCTAATGAATGAGCTGTTTCATTCAATGCATATTAATTAAGCACTGGGCTGTGGAGCCATCTCTTGAGTATTAATGATTTTAGTGGTAAATTTTCTTAAACATTTTATAGAAAGTAACAGTATATAACCAAGAGCAGAAACATAGAGTTATGAAATTGTAAAAAAAAATACCCTCAATACGTGGAAACATTGATTTTGGTAACATTCTCCATAAAGCTGCTTTCAGTTTGGGCATATGTTTATTCATTTGACACATCACTGAATGCCCACTATTTTCCCTGCTCTGTTAGAACTTTGGGATTTATCAGTGGAGAAAGCATATCCAAACCTGAGGGCAATATAATCTTTTTATCACCTATCCATGGATAGGATTAAATCCTGGAATCCATGGATGGTTTGGGAAGTGGTCCCACAATTGTACCAGACTCCACATGCCTGCACATTTTCCCAGGGAGGGGGTTTGTAACTTTGATTGGATTCTCACAGTATCCACGACTCCCAGAAGGTTAAGAGCCACCACTTTCAGGGAGTGAGTTCTACAAATATGGAAGGTTCAGTGACAAGGAAAGCAGGTGTTCAGCAATGGGCCAGGCATGGAAGGTGGGGAACATCGAGCTTATAGGAGATTGGATGAGGAAGGCGTTTCTGGGGGCTGCAGTGCCCTGAAAGGACATTGTGGAGAGCAGGACTTGGGCTTTAAAGAATGAGAAGGATTGGTATACAGGCAGGAAAAAAGACAGGTAGGACATTCCAGGCTGTGAGTGGGCCTGGGGCTTGGGCAGGGCTGACAAGCTGAGAATCTGATCTGGAGCCCTGCCTCTACTGACACTGAAGGAGCTTGCAAAGCTGTTCCTCGCTCTTGGTGTTTCTGTCTTCATTTAGCACCTCAAGGTTGGGCTTCTAGACTCTGGAGGAGCCAAGTACCAATGCAGCCAAGTTCACAGGACTGATCTCTTTGTGACCAGGAATCTTGATTCCATTCCATATCCACAGACTGACAAACACCCATCCCCAGCTGTGGTGTTTTCTAAAGATGACAAGGCGAGCCAGGCAAGAGAGTGAGGGTGAGGCAGTGGCAACCTGTCTGCCACGTGCACCTTCCTTTATAGGGGCATGGGGCTAGGCAGGGGTAGCAGGATGGACTTATATATGGAGGACAAGCCTGTGGCTGATAGGAGGGCATTTTCCAGGTTTCATTTTCCTAGATGCTTTCAAAATCATGCTCTGACCTGGTCTTTCTCTGAAAATAGCTGCAGGTAGTTGCACAATTCTGTGGGTACAATGCATCAGACTCTGAGGCCCCACTGAGGTGCCTGAGGACAAAATCCTCCAAGGAGCTGCTGACCCTCAGCCAGGTGAGGACAGAGGGGGCAGTTTTGGGGACAGGGTTGCCCTTTGAATAGAGAGGTGAACAAATCCTACCCTTTTGTTATTTATTTGGATTTGGAACATGGAAAAGAGGAGGACTGGGGATACTTGGTAACAGCTGTAAAAAAAATAAGTAGGGGTATAGAACCCTTGTAGGTAATTTAAGAACATTGTTGGGGCAGGGGTGCAACTTAGCCTGGAGAAGATTCAGCAAAGTACAAGGCTTGTCTCTAAGTCCCTGAAGGCATCTCACTGGAGAGAGGGACCACACTTGTTATGCATGCTTCCAGAAGCTGAAGTCAAGATCACAAGCTAGAAGTTCTATTCAGAAGTCATTTTAGTTTTGTGTAACTGAAAACTTTTCAAGACCTCAGTTGTCTGGAAAAGGACTGGGCTCCTTTAGAAGGTGGTGAGATGCCCACCTCTCCAGGTATTCAAGCAAAATATAGCTGACCACTGACAGACTTTCAATCAGTGACAGTTAATTGAACCGGGTGATCTTTTATGTCCCTTCCAACCTTGAGAGCCTTTGATGACAGTCTTTGAATGAACAAGATCATTATCTTTCAGATTTCAACATTTGCTAGTTAGGTGCTGTGTACTGAATGTCCACTCTGAGCCATGCTAGCCTCAGTGAAATGGATAAGTCCTGGACCTGACGTTGTATTGAACTCTTCCATGTGCTCCTTTCTACCCAAATCCCAAAACAGAAACCTGAAGAAACCGTGATTAGAGCTGAGTGTTGCTTTCTGAGACCCCAGAAATATCCAGGCATTTCCCAGGCACTGTGTCTCAGGGAGACATCTGAGAAAGGTGTTCACACCAACCCCTACAGTCCTAGCTACTCCATCTACCACCATTTTTCCCTTTGTATTTGGCCAGTGGTTCTCAAACTTGAACATGCATCAGGATCACCTGGAGGACTGGTTATGTTGTATCCAGGTGAGTTAAGGGAACGCCACACTTTGAGAAGAATTAAGAGTCCTTTATTAAGCCGGCGGCCAGAGAGACAGCTAATGCTCAAAATTCTCTCTGCCACGAGGAAGGGGCTCAATTAACTTTTATACCTAGGTTTAGGAAGGGGAGGGGGACTCAAATGTAATAATTCTACAGAAGTAAAAACATGCAAGAATCAAAAGAAGCAAAATGGTTACAGAGTGATAAACAAAAGACAAATAGTTACAAGAAGAGCAACGGTATCAGGTGCAAGGTTCTAAATCTTTCATTATAATTAGATATAGAGTCTATGCAGGGCATGAACTCAAGGTTTTATGTTGTTATCTCTTGGAGAGAAATCCTGGGAACTTCATACATTGTTGGTGCTAGTACCTTATCAGTTAATTGGGCTCCTTTGAAATGCTGAGGATCTGTTTACACAGGCCAACTCCTTACGAAAGGGTGTTGGATGAGGAGCCCTCAGTGTCTTGTAAATTAAGGGATCAACTGGAGTTTGTCCAGCCTTCCTAGCTGGAGAGAGTCTTATTTACATGAGAAGCAAGGCTAGGTGATTAAAGAGACAAGCAGGATAAAATTCAAAGTAACGAGTTAAAGTAAAAACAAGGTTAGGCATTTCAGTTACAAGAAGGTTCCTGGGCTACACCCCGACCCTAGAGTTTCTTATTGAGGGCCTGAAGTGGACCTGAGAATGTGCATTTCTAACAAATTCCCAGATGATGCTGATGCTGCTGGTCTAGGAACCACACTTTGAGAATCTCTGTGCTAGGCTGTATTAGTCTCTTCTCACGCTGCTAATAAAGACATACCTGAGTCTAAGTAATTTATAAAGGAAAGAGGTTTAATAAACTCACAGTTCCACATGGCTGGGGAGGCCTCACATCATGGTGGAGGGTGAAGAAAGAGCAAAGGCACGTCTTATATGGCAGTGGGCAAAAAAAAAAGCTTGTGCAGGGGCGCTCCCCTTTATAAAAACCATCAGATCTCATGAGCTTTATTCACTATCATGCAAATAGCATGAATAAGACCTGCTCCCATGATTCAATTACCTCCCACCAGGTCCCTCCCACAATATGTGGGAATTATGGGAGCTATAATTTGAGATTTGGGTGGGGACATAGCCAAACCATATCCGAGGCCACTGTTTTTCTTAGGTAGATATTCCCGTTTAGCAGATAAGAAAATAAGGCACACACAAGTTTAGCCCCCTTGCCCAGGTACATGGCAGAGCTGCCAGGGACTGATATATTGAGCTGGGCCCATAGTGTTTGCTTTTACTTTTTAAGTGCATTTAAGCCAGTGCTAGACTGGGTTGGCTTTGCTTGGCCAGGATTTGGGACAGCAGATTTTGTGAACAGAAATAGCTGCTGGTTTTTTTTTCTTCCCTATTACAGAAAACAAAGGCTTTCACTCAAGTGGTTGATGGTGCTTTCTTTCCTAATGAGCCTCTAGATCTATTGTCTCAGAAAGCATTTAAAGCAATTCCTTCCATCATCGGAGTCAATAACCCCGAGTGTGGCTTCCCGCTGCCTATGGTAAGAATTGTGGCTGTCCATACTGCCACTCCCTCAAACTGTGATGCAGCTCTTGGCTTCAACAGCTGGGCATTTCCACAGGTGACATCCACTGTTGTAAGTGCTGGAGCCCACCAGCCAAGCACACAGTGATCACCTTTCCTCTCTCTGAAAGAGGATAAGCGAGGACCAGGCCAGGCCAGTCACAGCAAGTGTCTGCCTTGCTCCTCATGTGATGAGGTTTAGGGTGGAAGAAACAACTACATAAAAAGGAAAGAGGGGATGGGTCCATTTGGTCTTTGTTCAAAAAATACTATAAATTATTGTTTCCAAAAAATGCAGTTACTACTTCAGAGTTGACATTCAGATAGGTTTGAAAAACTTCAGTCCTTTAAACTTTTCATGTCCAGCCTTGGTTCTAGCATCTTGACATCCAAGAATGCTAAGGTTGTATAAGTTGCAAAATTGTTGAATCATTTTATTTATTCAACAAGTATGTGCTGAGTATTTATTACAGGCTTATAAAAACTGAGCAGTTGGCAGCGAGCGTGGTACCAGCTTTCTGAGCGCTTACACTCTAGTGGGGAGAGACAGAGGAGACACGAGGTTGAGAAGATGATTTCGGAGAGTGATAGATGCTATGAAGGGCACAAGTGGGGAGAGAAGTTATCTTTAGGGAGACAACAGGTGGTTAGGAAAGGCTCCTCTGGGGGAGAGATTGTTGAGCTGAGGCCTGGGTGCCGGGAAAAACCCATGATTTTTTGATTCCATGGTTTAGGAAGACTCTCTTCATTGGAAATAAACTTTTCATCTGTCCTCAGAAGAGTGGAGGCTTCAAATTCCTAATACTGTTGAAGCTCATTTATATAGACTGACCTCATTTTAAGCTGGGGGAAATGGGGTTAAGAAATAAAGAGGTTTGTCAAATTACAAAGCTAGTTGATGGCTGCTAGAACCAGAATCCCGAGTTCATTGGGTTGTGAAAGCATGTTGTACCATTATTAATTTGACCTCCAAGGCAATGTTTTCAAGTGGGACTAGGGATTTTTGTCCTCATGTTGCAGATGAGGCCAGTGAATCACAGTTGATGGCTTAGGTAAGGCCTTTCAGTGATTTCTGGGTGTGTATTAGAAAGAAGAAGGCAGTGCTAGTGATGACAACCACCACTGTAACTACTGTAACCAGTTCCCCAATGCCTTCTAGTGCCAAGCACAGGCAATCCAAGCAGGAACTTGAAAACAGGCATGATTATCCCTATTTTAAAGAAACTGAGGCTCAGAGCAGCTAAAGTGGCTTTCCAGCATCTCCTAGCTAGTAAGGAGACACTGGTGTGTAATTTTTATGCATTTAGGCTCTGTTTTTTATTTTATTTTATTTTATTTTTGAGTCAGAGTCTCACTCTGTTGCCCAGGCTGGAGTGTAGTAGCACAATCTTGGCTCACTGCAACCTCCATCTCCCGGGTTCAAGCGATTCTTCTGCCTCAGCCTCTAGAGTAGCTGGGATTACAGGTGCCTGCCACCACGACTAGCTAATTTTTTTTGTATTTTTAGCAGAGACAGGGTTTCACCATGTTGGCCAGGCTGGTTTTGAACTCCTGACCTCAAGTGATCCACCCACCTTGGCCCCCCAAAGTGCTGAGATTACAGACATGAGCCTGTGCCCAGACTAGGTTCTGCCTTTAAATGCCGAGTTCTCTGCTTACCTGCTGTGTGACATTAGGGAAGTTGCCTACCCTCTCTGAGTCTCCATTCCTTCATCTGTGAAATACGGCTATTCTTAGCACCTACCTCACAGCTATACATCAAACAGTCTGGCATATAGTCAGTCCTCAGTAAATGCTAGATATTGGAGTTATTCAACTGACAGAATTTGCAGAGCTCAAAAGCCTGTGTGGGTGCTGAAATTCCATGTGAATTTGCAGTTAAACCCATTGCTAGCTGTTAGAAACCACAGGAAATCCCCCAGAAACAAATCCCAGCTCCTTAATGTACAAGAAGGTTTTTAGTAGTTAGAATATGCTTGTAGGTAACATGAATGACTCTGAGGTTCCCCTGAGATTCCAGGAGACAGGTATGGCCCTAGTATTCATTTAAGTATTGGCCCTAGTGATTCATTACCCCAAGATTTTCAGCAGAAAACATACCAAGAAAATTTATTTGTCAGGTGGATAGTATTTCTGCTGCCTCACATTTTAAAGCTGTAATTTTGCCAGAAAATGGTAATTTCACAAATATTCACACAAAGCGCTTACTATATACCAAGTACCACTGTAAGAGCTTTACAAATATCAACTCTTTCAGTTCTCATCACCACCCTGGCAGGAGGTACCTGTTGCAAACTCCATCTTACAGATGAGGAGCCTGAGACAGGAAAAGTTGAGTCCCTTGCCAAGTTCTCAGCTGGTGGCCACCAGCCTCACTGCTACTGCCTGACCTCCCACTGTGGCTTCTCAGAGGCCCCACCCGCAAAGGTCGTTAGAAGGAGAACAGCAAATACCAGTTTTGAAATTTTCTGGCTTCTCTTTGAACTTGGTGTCAAAGCCAAGTTGGTGTCTCTTAGGCAGTCAGGGCTACCATAACAAAATACCACAGACTGGGAGGCTTAAATGACAGACATTCATGTTCTCATAGTTCTGGGGGCTGGACTTCTAAGATCAAGGTGCTAATATTGCTTTGTTTGTCTAAACGTTCCTTTCTCATAAGGACATTAGCCAGATTGGATTAGGGCCCACTCTAACGCCGCATTTTAACATAATCTCCCCTTTAAAAGTACTGTCTCCAAATAGTCGCACTCTGAAGTGAAGGGGGGTTAAGACTTCAATGTGTGAATTTTGAGGGGGCCACAACTTAGCTCATAATGGGAGCCTTCCCACAAGGTGGCCACTCGGGCCCCACAAGGCTGCAGGTGGAATGACAGGGAACAGCTGCCTTTTATCAAAAGTGAGAAGAAGAAATTAACTATCTGAGCAGCACACTGAGGCCACTTCCACACGTGGCTGCCTGGGCTGGAGGGCTCCTGCCCTTCCCAGCTTCCCCTGTGAAAGTCAGGTGCCCAGGCCCTCAGGGAGATGGGTTTAACCTTCTGATGACCAGATGGCTTATGGAGGGCACTGCTTCTCTCCACAGAAGGAGGCTCCTGAGATTCTCAGTGGCTCCAACAAGTCCCTTGCCCTCTGTCTGACACAAAACATCCTGGTGAATAGCTTGGGAGGCTGCAGTACTCTAGAGACACATGCACTTTCACAGATAGCCCTGGGTCACACTCAGCGGGAGCAGCCAGGGGCACAGACACTCCTCACTCACTCAGTCATTCAGTAGACCTTTACTAAGCATAGGTGTATTAGTCCACTCTTGCACTGCTATTAAGAAATACTGGAGACTGGGTAATTTATAAAGAAAAGAGGCTTAATTGGCTCATGGTGCTGCAGGCTATACAGGAAGCATGATGCTGGCATCTGTTCAGCTTCTGGGGAGGCCTCAGGAAACTTATAATCATGGTGGAAGGCGAAGGGGAAGAAGGCACGTCTTACGCGGCCAGAGCAGGAGGAAGAGAGAGAGGGAGGTGGTGCCACGCACTTTTAAACAACCAAATCTCATGGGAACTCTATGACGAGAACAGCACCAAAGGAATGGTGCTAACCATTCATGAGAAACCACTCCTATGATCCAATCACCTCCTACCAGGCCCCACCTCCAACATTAGGGATTACAATTCAACATGAGATTTGGTGGGGGACACAGGTCCAACCTATATCAATAGGCCCACAATCCCAATGCACAATCCCCAACCTGGAAGAGCTCCAAAAACTCAGAGGGTTTTTGTAACCCACCCAGCAGCCAAACCACACCTTGACTGATTTGTGGCTATCAGTCATTTTTGTTCTTACACATTCATTCATTCATTTTATTTATCCCAGTATTCAGATGTTTCTCTGTGGATGCATTAATGTGGGTGTTGGGGTGTTACCCCACCCCAAGCCTGTGTGATAACATGCAACATAGGTGCTGCATTGTCTACCTACAGTCTGAAAAACTCTGAATGCTAAAACACACATGGGACTGGGGACCTGTATTCACTACACACCAGCCAGGCATTGGGCCAGGTTCTGACAAGACCAGTTATTTACTCATTCATTCACTCATTTATTGTTCCATCACTAATTCATTCATTCACTGCACAAACTCAGCAGTATCTGGTCTTACTCTAGACAGTAGGATATAGAGATGGATTGCTTTCCTTCCTTTTCTCCTTTTCTCCTTTTTCCATCTTCCTCTTTTCCATAAACATTTATTCAGGGTGGACTCAGTGCTAATGTTCATTTTGCTCATTTGTCCATGGAACACATGTTTAGTGAGAGTCCACATGCCCCTGCATTGCCCTGGGCACTGGGGTGCAATGTGGGGTGGACAGAGATGACAAGACAGTTCAATACAGCACACATGAAGCAGGGGAGTGTCCAAGGCCCTGTGGTGCCCACAGAAGGGGACAGGTGCCTCTCTTGGGGAGAAGGGTTTGGAGGATTAATGGAGCTTGTCTGGTGATGGAAGGGGTGGGTGGAGAAACTGTGAAAAACCAAGAGTACCAACTGGGAGTAGAGGGGTGTGAAGAGATCAGCTGAGGGTTGGCTGCAGCAGGAGAGAATGCTTTCAGCTGTTGTAAGCTAGGTAATAATGAGCGTAGACTTCATCCTAAAGACTGAGAACAGAAGGAAGAAGGACATTATTTGATTTCTATTTTTAAAAAAAGTCCTCTGAAACTGGGCACAGTGGGTCACACCTGTAATCCCAACACTTTGGGAGGCCAAGGCAGGAGGATTGCTTGAACCCAGGAGTTCAAGACCAGCCTGGGCAACATAGGGAGACCTTGTCTCTACAAAAAATAAAAAAATTAGCCAGGCATGGTGGTGTGCATTTGTGGTGCCAGCTACTTGGGAGGCCAAGGCAGGAGGACTGTTGAGCCTGGGAGTTTGAGGCTGCAGGATCTTGCCACTGTACTCCAGCCTGGGCAACAGGGCAAGAGACTATCTCAAAAAAAAAAAAAAAAAAAAAAAAAAAGGAAAACAGAAACACTACAGGCAGAGATCCCTCAGGCCCCCCTTGGTGGAGGGATGTTTGATGAGTTGCAGCTGTCTGATGATGAACTGGGACTAAGGTTGAGAGATATTGATGATGTAAGTCATACAGTGGAATTCTCAGGTGGATTGGAGATGGCCTTATGGAGAAGGTGCTCGATGATCTGAGCCTTAGGGGAGGGGAACAAGTGAGCAGAAGGACATTTCAAGTAGAGTGGGAAGTAGATTGTGCAAGGAAGTGCAAGAGGAATGGAAGGGCATGTGTCTCTCCTGGGCGCAGTGGCATGCTAGGGGCTACTTTTCAAACAGTAAGTAGTTCTCTGATACAGAAGGCATAGCCTTGCTCCAGAACCCTAGGACTTTGCACTCTGACTGTCCTATGGGGGCTTACCTGAGACTCCACACAGCATGTGTACCCACCTTGGACACCTCCGGCACCATGGGGTCTGCTGGTTATATGGCCAAAGAGGCCAGGCCCTTACACCATAGACTGGACCTGCTGCAGAGGCCTCCCTTGCTCTGGCCTGATTAAAAACCATTAGCCTCCTGAGGACGCGATACACGAGTCTGAGCAGCATTCCCGAATGTTATGTACACTGCCTCGCCTCCAAATTCCAAAGAAACCCATCAAGGGCTGTGCTGCTGTCTTAGTGGTAGGGGTTTGAGCTGCAACACCTTTCCAGCATTTCCCAGAGCACCAGATCCCTGAATCTTCATAGAATTTACCATGCACTCTTTGCCATTTGTGCTTGGGGAAAGTTGAGAGGGAGAAGCCTGGGAGGCAGGCTGGTGCCAGGTCAGAGAAGCATCAGATGTCCTATTAAGGCACTCAGCAATGGGGCCTGGGTGAACCAACAGGACTGAAAACGTGCTCTGGGTCAAGCAGCATGCTTTTCTCTTCATATCTTCTATAATCCTCCACATCCCTAGAGATGAGGAAACTGAGGCTCCAAGAGACCAACTAGCTTAGGTAAGATAATAGCTAAGTGCAGGAAGCAGCGCTGGTACCGGAGCAGGACTGGTTTCATGGATGTTCTGCCTGTGTAGTCACAGAGGACCTTGTTGCTCAGAAGGGTCCTACATTTGGTTGAATGCTCTGCTGTCACCATCTTGAAATTCTTAATGATTTGTGAACGAGGAGCCTATGTCTTCACTTTGCACTGAGCTCCACAGATGATGCAGCCAGTAGTGGCTCATTCTGAGACACAAGAGAGAGGCCAGGAGCATGAGATTTGGATGCAAATACACTTTTGAAAGAATCATGGTTCTTCCAGGTGGGCCCAACGACTTCACCTCTCTAAGACTCAGTTTCTTAATCTGAGAAATGGGGCTAGTTTTGATACTTGCATCACAGGGTTGCTGTGTGGGTTAAATGAAGCAATGTGGGTAAAGCATTCAGAATCATACCTGCAGAGTTAACGTGTTGGCCATTGTGGTTGACCTGGATCTCCTATGACTATGATTTTTTTACAGCACATCCTGCCCAATTATTTGCACCTTGTGGCTGGTGAATACTTCCATGACAAGCACTCCCTGACTGAAATCCGAGACAGTCTTCTGGACTTGCTTGGAGATGTGTTCTTTGTGATCCCTAAGCTGATCACAGCTCAGTATCATAGAGGTGAGTCTCTGAGCACCCCGCTTCAGGACGACAGCCCAGCGAGGTTGATGGCCAAGGAGATCCATGTTGTCTACTGACTGGCTGCCTCCTCTGCCTCTGTTTCCTCATGGAGAGGGCATTCCCAGGTGTGTGTGGATGGAACTGTACCATGGTGAGCTGTGCCATTCACCTGCCTTTCAGAGTCTGGGAATGTTGATCAGTTGTTGTTTCCATTCCTGCCTGCTCTTCAGGACCAGGTAGAAAATTCCCATCTCCCTATAATTTTCTGGGGGCCGTCCCCCAGGATTTTTTCTTTCTGGAAATGTCTTCCCCAACATCTTAGCCATACGTAGTAATGGAACAAACATTTTAGCTGTAAGGAGTAATGGAACTCCTAAAGTAATAGACTTCAAATCAACTATTTTAAATGCAGCCGAATACTCCACCCTGTAATATCAGATTCTACATTCTTCTCAAGTGCACATGCAATATCCTCCAGAATAAACCATATGTTAGGCCACCAAACAAATCCCAATAAATATAAAAGGATGGAAATCATGCAGAGTATCTTCTTCAACCACAAGAGAATGAAATTAGAAATCAAGAACAAAAGGAAATCTGGAAAATTCACAAATATTTATAAATAAAATGGCATACTTTTTTAAATTTTAAAAATTGTGGTTAAATATGCTTAATAAAAAATTTACCATTTTAACCATTTTAAGTGTATAGTTCAATGGCATTAAATACATTCACATTGTTGTACAACCATCACCACTATACATCTTCAGAATGTTTTTATCATCCCAAACTGAAACTCAGTACCTATTAAAAATAACTCCTCACACCTCCTTCCCCCAGACCCCAATAACCACCATTCCACTTTCTGTCTCTGTGACTTTTTAGCTACTTTAGTGACTTTGGTTACCCAATGCAAATGGAATCATACAAATGTTTGTCCTTTTGGCTGGCTTATTTCACATAGCATAAGGTCTCAGGGTTCCTATATGCTATACTATACATCAGAATTTCCTTCTTTTTTAAGGCCGAATAATGTTCCATTGTATGTATATATTATGTTTTGTTTATCCATTTATTCATTAACGGACATTTGCATTGTTTCCACCTTTTGGCTATTGTGCAATGAACAATGGGCTATTGACTACAATTGGCTATTGGCTATAATGCTGCGATGAACATAGTTGTAGAAATATCTGTTCAAGTCCCTGTTTTCAGTTATTTGGGGTATATGCCAGAGGTAGAATTGCTAGATCATATGTAATTCTTTGTTTAATTTTTTGAAGAATTGTCATGTTGTTCTCCACTGTGTCTGCACCATTTTACATTCCTACCAGCGATGCACAAGGGTTGCAATTTCTCAATATCTTCACCAACATTTGTTATTTTCTGTTGCTGTTTTTTAAATAATGACTATTCTAATGGATTTGAAGTAGTATCACATTATGGTGTTTTTTCATTGTTTTGTTTTGTTTTGTTTTTGAGACAGAGTTTCACTCGTCACCCAAGCTAGAGTGCAATGGCGCAATCTTAGCTCACTGCAACCTCTGCCTTTGGGTTCAAGAGATTCTTCTGCCTCAGCTTCTTGAGTAGCTGGGACTACAGGCATGCACCACCACGCCCGGCTAATTTTTTGTATTTTTAGTAGAGACAGGGTTTCACCATGTTGGCCAGGCTGGTTTCAAACTCCTGACCTCATGATCCACCTGCCTCGGCCTCCCGAACTACTTTTCTAGCCATCCTGTAAAGGGGTCATTTACCCCTGAGTTGCTGGCTAACTCATTGGATAGAGCAGTCCGACCTTGCGATACCTTTGTTATACTTCCCTTAGGGGTGGTGGTGTTTGGGATGAAGGTGCAACATTGAGTTTTAATCATGACGCAAACCCCTCCCCTTTCTGCTAATATCATGTCTAAGGCTATTTTCCCAAGCCATCTGGTAGTAGCCCCTAATTGCTCAGCTATTCCTTTAACAGCATCTCTAGTGTAGTTAATAAGTCGCTGCTGGTTGTAATAGATGTAGTTTATCCAGTCTGCATTTTGGTTAATTGTCCACCCACCAAAATATTGACTCAAATCCTGCAGCTATTTGATTTCGGGCTTCAAACTGATCTGGTATTCCCCGTGGGACTCCAATTGCGCCTAATTAGACGTGAGAGTCGAAAGACTCATAAGGGACTTCTCTCGCTTTACGACGTCTTATTTTTCCTTCCTCTGGTTGATGAATTGCCAGGGTGAAAGGGATATCCAGCTGGACTAAAGCACAAGTGCCACTTCAGTTTTCCGGCAGAGTGTCCAGTAAAGGTCCACCACAATACCACCACACATCCGCAAGGCTAGTCTCACTCACTCAGCACAACACACACACGCACACACACGTGCCTGTTAACCATCCTGCCTGTTGCCCTAGCCAGCTGACCTTTGCAACCCGGGAAACGGCCCTGGCTCTTGGCCTATGAAGACTTTACGGTGCTGTGTTCGCAAAATATAAAAGGTAAGGATTAGTTCTTCTCTTGATCCACTGCTCGATCACATGCCCGCTTGTGACACTAGCCAATTCTGCAAACAGAGAATCTTTTGGCCACTCCTGGGTTTTGCCAGGGTCTGGCTGCAGCCTCTGAAGCCAATTTCTGGTTCGTGATGACTCTGCAGATTGTGATGGGTGAGGCTGGAGCATACCAAGCCTCACAATAGATCTCATTTTTGTTTAATACGTGTAACACCTCTGGCACCACTTCAGCTGTAAGCAGTATGTCTCTTGTTTAAGTGGCAGTTGGTTGGGGTTATTGCTTTTTTCTGGGGAACACCCTCTGGTTTCCCATGTGGAATTACATGATGTGCAGAGTAAAATCCTAGGAACTGGCCTTAACTTCTAAGCAGTTGGGTAGGACTTGGGAGAGTGGGCATATCTGGGGGCTTCAAATGAACTCCCCCAAACCTCTCCACCTCCATCAATTTACCCCAGCAGATATATGGAAAGCACATATTAGAGCAGGCATTGGGCCACAGCAAGCCCATGTCCTACTGGGCCCCTTACTCAGCTTTGTCTGTGAACCATGGGATTGATCAGGTGTAGATTTTGTGGTGGAGAACACTGAACTGGAAGACAGAAGTCTGAGAATCCACTGGGTGACATTTGGGGATTCCTTGTGGAAAGACGGGGTTGCTCTGGGGGAGGGGCTCTCTCAAGCACCCTTCACTGTGGCTCTGCACTCTATGAATCCAGGATTCTATGACATTCTCCACCGCAGCCTAGGCATATGCAGTGTTTCTGGAACCTCAGTTATTCTCATACTAATATCGTGGTTTTTTGCCTTATCAGCGTATCATCTGTACTTCTATGAGCAGTTTTCTTTAAATGAAGTAACTCTTTTTACTTCAACATGTTCACTCAAAAAGGAGACTTTATACCATTTCCATAAGTGCAAGACCTGTATAACCTGCAATAATTAGAGGTATGCATGGAAAATGTGTGAGTGCAGTTTTTTAAATTAAATTGATGGTAAAAATAAAAAGTACATAAAGAAATGACAGTAAAAACACTTCTAGTTTACAAAAGTATATAACTGAAAAAAAGTCACTTAATGGGAAAAGCGAACCATTGAAGGCAAGTTAGTTACATGAAAGCAGGGACACCCTTGATCGCCATCATGACCACCAGGTAGGTGACAAGGCATTGGCTCTGGCAAGGGTCATTGTCACCAAAGTCATTTCCTTGAGCTTCAGGGAACATCTTCCTGTTAACATTCAGTTCATTGGGCAGGAGTTGTATTATGTTTATACCTTCCCAGGCCCATGATGTTGTGTTATACTTAGGGGGTCAGACTCCCTGGAGTCAATCAGGTCCTAGGACTGACTGGTCAGAGCATCTAGAGGAAATTTTGGCCTGGTGGTGGGTCGTAGAGAAGAGACCTGTACTCCCGTGGGCATAACTAGTCAGCCTCATTGGCTCAAACAACTGGAAGTCGGGTCATGTACATTCATCAGGCAATCACCCTGAGACTGCTGAGCAAGACTTATTAGTGAGAGCAGGGTAGACTATGGTAGCAAATAGGCCCAGAATTTCAATGGCTTATTTTTCGCTTAGGTAAAGGACTAGAATGTTGTTCAGGTCAATAAGGTGGCTGTCCTCCATATGGTCATTCAGAGATTGAAATTAAGGTGTCAGCAAACTTTCCCTATAAAAGGGCCAGATAGTACGTACTTCGGGCTTTGCAGGCCATGGGCTGTCTGTGACAACTGCTGTGGTAGTGAAGGTAGCCCTTAAACAATACCTATGCAAACAGGCATGGCTGTTCTTCAATAAAACTTTATTTTTAAAAAGACAGTGGGCCAGATTTGGCCCTTAGGCTCTAGTTTACTCACTCCTAATCTAGACTACGGTGTCTTTGCCATCCTTAACTCATGGTTTCTAAAGTTGCCATAGGTGTCAATTCCCCATCACCTGGAACAGGCAGGAGCAGAAGTGTGACCATGGAGCATTTGTATGGGCCAGGCCTGGCTGTGGCACTCTTCACTCCCACTCAGAGTCCATTGGTGAGAACTTATTCACGTGGTCAATCTAATTGCAACCAAGGCTGGAAAATGTAATCTGGCCGTGTACCAAGGAAGGTGGGACAGATTTTAACAGATTGCCAGCAATCCTTGCCACAGGTAATATCCATTAAACCATGGACTCGATAGTAAGGTGTTTTTTTTTTCCTAATGCACAGCAAAATAAATACACATCCATTCTATAAGTGCTTTATAGTTTCTATGCCATCTAAAATGATCTCGCATAACTCCAGGAATAAGTGCACTACACTCTGATAAACACTAAGTTTTTGTGTTTCTTTGATTCAAATCACAAAAGCCTGATTATAAACCCAGATCCTATTTGTTAGCACTACTCTATTAACCCTTCCTTTAGCCTGTTAAGAATAAAATGGTAACAAAGATGATTCAGAAAGCAATGTAAAAATTTAGACTCAGAGAAGTTAAGATTGAATTATAATCTGGAAAGAGCCCTGTAAATTCAAACTATAGATTACATTGTAAGCATCCAGGTGAATAGAGTGGCCTCCATAGAGAGGCATGTGCTGTGTGTTTTCTTGCCCTGAGAACTGTCAGTGTTCATATATCTCAATGCCCAAAACTGTGATGTCTCTTGATGGTACCGGGTATTGAGACATGGGCAAAATTTGGAGAGGCAGAGAAGAAATTAACATTGGTACAAGGCAGATTCAGGGGCTTCTTGGGGAGGCCAGTTGGACTGGAAGGGTGAATGGAAGACAGAGAGCTTCAATGCCAAGCTAAGGAGAACAGACTTCATCCCTGGACAATGGGGAGGAGATGCTGAAAGTCTTTAATTCTGAGACTGACACGATGAAGGGCATTTCCAAAAGTAGAGCCTGGCAGAAGCAGCCAAGCCATCTGAAGGGACCAGTGGTTATTCTCAAAGGGAAACTCCTACACACTCTTCAGGAGGGTAGAAGGTAAACAACTCCTTTTTAAAGGTGCCTAAGTCCTATGCTTGCAAAAGCTTGGCTTTGGGGCTTACACAGGACTCAGCAAGCATAAATGACATT